>NC_000003.12:161584361-161887392 GCF_000001405.40 Homo sapiens | reverse complement strand
CATAGTATATATATGCATATATACATATATATGGCATATATATGGCATAGTATATATATATGGCATATATATATATGGCAAGTATATATGGCCATATATATATATATGGCAAGTATATATATGGCATATATATATATATATATATATATATGGCAAGTATATGGCCAAACACTCTGTTATCATCTATGTCACTTTTTCTCCCCCCCAGACTACTCTCTGGACAATTGGCCAAGGCAATGGTATTGCCATTGACAACATTACTAGGATGGAATTGAAAAACGTTACACAACAAAAAGTTTTTATTTGGAAACCTACGGCCACTAATTTCATATTCATCCAGCACCTAATCTTTTCCATTTTTTTAATGTATGATATTAGTTTTCCTTTAATTCAACCTCTTTCTTGTGAATATTTTTCATTTTTTCTACTTTCTGCAGTATTTGGCACAATGTGTGCTCACAGTAGGTGTTCAATAAATAATGCCATATGTGTGTGTCTATGTGCACTTAGATTAAAAGTTATTATTATATACTATAATCAGAAAACAAAGACAGTAAAACCTTGATTTAGACCTCCAATAATAGATTTAAAAGTTGAGGTTTAATGCTGTAAGTAGAAGGTTACTATTGGACCTTGAATAATGGAGCTTTATAACAAATTCACTTTGTGAAAGACATTTTCTTCCATAGATCATAGGTATAGTTTAAAAAAATATATTTTCAAAGAATCATGATCAGTTTTAAAAGTTTCCTGTTAGTTGTTTCCTTTCTTCAAGAATCAATCATATTCAAAGGGCTTGAAAAAAATCAACATTCAGCCAAGAGAAGATTGCTCTCTTTAAATAGAGCAATAGAGCAAAACAAAGTCTGCCTCTGTCTTGACTCTCCCCTCCACCATGACACAGACACATTTGTGCCCTCACCACAGCTTCTCAGGAGACTGGGCAGACCAAATCTAAGTAAGCCTGACTTGAGCATACTATCTCAGGAGCTGAGTTCAGTTACCTCATCAAAAAAAAAAAAATACTATGGGGTGTTATGTTAGACTGTTCTTGCACTGCTATAAGGAAATATCTGAGACTGGGTAATTACAAGAAAAGTGGTTTAATTGGCTCATGGTTCTGCAGGATTTTCAGGAAGCATGGTCCTGGCATCTGCTCTGCTTCCAAGGAAATCTCAGAAATGTTATGATCATAGTAGAAAATGGAGGGGAAGCAGGCACATCAGATGGCAAAAACAGGAAAAAGTGAGACAGTGGGGAGGAGGTACCATACACTTTTAAATGACAAGATCTCATGGGAACTCACTGACTATTGCAAGGACAGCACCAAGCCATGAGGAATCCACCTCCATGACCCAATGACCCAAACACCTTCCACTAGGCTCAACCTCCAACATTGGAGATTACATTTCAACGTGAGATTTGGTCAGGGACATACATCCAACCTATATCATTTTGCCCTTAGCTTCTCCCAAATCTCATGTCCTTCTCCCATTGATTGCAAAATACAATCATGCCTTCCCAATAGTCCTCCAAATCTTAACTCACTCCAGCATTAACTCAAAAGTTCAAAGTCCAAAGTTTCATCTGAGATAAAGAAAGGCAAGTCCCTTCCTTCCATAAGCCTGTAAAATCAAACAAGTTATTTACTTCCAAGATACAAGGGGTACAAGGGGTAAATTTTTAAAAAAATACAATAGGTAAACATTCCCGCTCCCAAAGGGAGAAATCAACCAAAAGAAAGGCTACAGGCCCCATGCAAGTTCAAAACCCAGCAGGGCAGTCATTACATCTTAAAGCTCCAAAATAATCTCCTTTGACTCCACATCCCACATCTAGGCCATACTGGTGCAAGAGGTCAGCTCCCAAAGCCTTGGGCAGCTCTACCCCTGTGGCTTTGCAGGGTTCAGCCCTCACAGTTGCTCTCACTGGTTGCTGAGTCCCTGTGACTTTCCAGATGCAGGGTGTAAGCTGCCAGTGGATCTACAATTTTGGGAGCTAGATGGCACTAGTCAGTGTCCCAGTGGGGACTCTTTGTGGGGTCTCTGACCCCACATTTCCTCTTGGCACTGCCCTAGTAGAGGTTCTCTGTGAGGGCTCTGCCCTTGCAGCAAGCTTCTGCCTGGGCACCCAGGCTTTCTCATACATCCTTTGAAATCTAGATGGAGGCTGTCAAGCATTCTTCACGTTTGCATTCTTCACACCTACAGGCTCAATAGCATATGGAAGACACCAAACTTATGGCTTGCATCCTCTAAAGGGGCAGACTGAGCTGTACCTAGGCTGCTTTGAGCCAAAGCTGGAGCTGGAGCAGCCAGGATTCTGGGAGCATTGTTTTGAGGCTGTGCATGTGTGTGAGGCCCTGGTCCTGGAAACCATTTTGCCCTCCTAGTCCACTGGGCCTGTGATGGGAGGGCCATTCGAGGCCTTTTCCCCATTGTCTTGGTTGTCAGCACTTGGATCCCTTCTATTTATGCTAATTTCTCTAGCAAGTAGTTTCTCCGCAGCTTCACCGAATTCCTCTCCCAAAAAAAGCTTTTTCCGTCTCTGCCACTTAACAGTTGCAAAATTTTCAAACTTTTACACTTTTCTTTCTTTTTAAATATAAGTTCTAACTTCTTTCTTTGCTCCTGCATCTGAGATAGGCTATTAAAAGCAGTCACACCTCTTCTTAAACACTTTGCTGCTTAGAAATTTCTCCCACCAGATACCCTAAATCTTCACTTTGAAGCTCAAACTTCAATAGATCTCTAGGGCTTGAACAGAATGCAGCCAAATTCTTTGCTAAGGCATAACATGTGTGACTTTTGCTTCAGTTTCCAGAAAGTTCCATGTTTCAAACTGAGGCCTTGTCAGTCCGGGCTTCCTTGTCCACATCACTATCAGCATTTTTGTAACAACCATCTAAACACTCTCGAAGAAATTCCAAAATTTCCCTCATCTTCCTGTCTTCTGTGCCCTCCAAACTCTTCCAAACTCTGTCTGTTACCTAGGTCCAAAGTAATTTCCACATCTTCAGGTATCTTTTTGCCCCACTCCTCAGTACCAATTTTCTGCATTAGGCCATTCTTGTGCTTCTATAAAGAAGTAACTGAGACTGGGTAATTTGTTAAAATAAAAGGTTTAATTGGCTCATGGTTCTGCAGGCTTTTCAGGAAGCTTGGGGCTAGCATCTGTTCTGTTTCTAGGGAGGCTTCAGGAAGTTTACAATCAGGGTGGAAGGCAAAGGGGAAGCAGGAACACCATATATGGCTAAAGCAGGAGAAAATGAGAGTGGGGAAAGAGGGGCCAAACACTTTTAAATGACCGGATCTCATGAGAACTCACTCAATATCACAAAGTTAGCTCCAAGCCATGAGGTATCAGTCCTCATGACCCAAACATTTCCCACCAGGCCACAACTCCAACATTGAGGACTATGTTTCCCCATGAGATTTGGGTGGAGACATATATCCAAACTATATCAGATGGAATACAAATGATCAAAAACTGGAAAGTAGCAAAAATAATAATAATAAGGATTCCACCAGGATGGAAAATTCAGGTAGGAATTATTTGAGACAAGATTACTACTTTGGTTTCTTGGTTATATTGATCGCAGTATGAGAAAGAAAGTTTTAAAAAGAAACGAAGAGGCTGGGCACGGTGGCTGACACCTGTAATCTCAGCACTTTGGGAGGCCGAGGCAGGTGGATCACGAGGTCAGGAGATCGAGACCATCCTGGCTAACACATTGAAACCCCGTCTCTACTAAAAATACAAAAAATTAGCCGGGAGTGGTGTCACATGCCTGTAGTCCCAGCTACTCGGGAGGCTGAGGCAGGAGAATGGCGCAAATCTGGGAGGCAGAGCTTGCAGTGAGCTGAGATCGCGCGCCACTACACTCCAGCCTAGGCGACAGAGTGAGACACCATCTCAAAAAAAAAAAAAAAAAAAAAAAAAAAGAAGATACATGTAGCATATGTGTACCTAGAAAAATAAGTTTTCTTATAAAAACCAATACAGCCAGAAAACAAAATATTAGGGAATGTTGCATAATAAAGAACTTGCCTGGCATTTGTCCTAGATTCATGCAAGGACATCAAAAACTTCTCCTTTGGGATTCTCCAAGACCTCACCTTCTGTGTCTCTTCACTTGGCTGGTCCTGATTCATATCCTTTTTATAATAAAACTGTGATTATAAGTATAGCACTTTCCTGAGTCACGTGAGTCATTTTAGTGAATTATTCAATCTAAGGGGGTAGTGGAGACCTCTGAGTTTGTAGCTAGTTAGTCACAATTGCGTGTGGCCTACAGATCCTTGGCACTTGCGGTAGGTGTCTGAAGAAAGAGGAGTCTTGTGGAGGACAGTTCCCAAAACCTGTGGAGTCTATGCTAACTGCAGGTAAATAATGCCAGAACTACATTGCAGGCTAACTAGTTAAGTTAGGGGAAAATACTAGTAGTTTAATTATTAATTTCTATTCATGAAGATTTTAATAAAACTTTTTAAAAGAATCCACACAAAAAGGAGTACTTTAGCTATAGCACTTATTCCATTACCATTTGCTGTGTCAGGCTGTGTTACTTATGTCACTTTATATTTTTTCTTCCCCTGCCTCCCTCATGAAAATGGAATAAATAACTCAATCTGAATTATAGTCATTTTGTGATAAGGTATGCTTATAACTGTGATTGGGAGCATTGACCATTTATAATAATAAAAAAAAAATTGTCAGCCTGACCTAAGCCATGGAAAAGAAAGAACAACTTTCTTTAACTCATAATTCTTGATCTTCCCATTCCTCTGTTGGAAAAGAGCAGTCTCCTATTTGCTTAGATAATCCTCTCCAATGCTCCATGATTATTTTTAATTTACTCAGTAAATTCAGCCTTCATTATAAAGTTAACCAAAACCAAATTTTGAATAAGTAAGCATATCCTAACATTTCCAGATCTGATTTAGGCCATTATCCATGTGTATCATTTGCATTGCCTGAAATTAAAATGATCCATACAGTTTTCAAAATTCTCATTCACAGCTGAGTAAAACAACAAAATGTCTTTCTCCTTTGACTGATACCAATGTATGTGAACAATAATTGAATAATCTACTCCAAACTATATTTTTATTGTTTTCTTTATGGTAAACATAACTTTTAATTTAATATAATTAACCAATAATGACTAATATGTACATCATACAGATTTCTAGTGTTTCCATTTTTCCTGATAAAATTCTTATTGACTTTTTTCTCCCTACAACAAATCTTTAACTTATAATCTTTCAAAGTCTTTTTAACTATGTGCACATATATGCATGTGCACACACATGCCCATTTCAATTCCAATTTCCTAAACCATGTACCTGCTACATCACTTGAATGTACTGGGGAAAGGAAGTTCAAAACAAATCTTCTAAGTTATTAAGATATCAAGATCCCTCACATCTTAATACAAGGTCCTTCCCTGTAGCAAGACTGAAAAAATAATAATAACGAAATCAACTGTCCTCTTTAATACCCCAAAGCCTGGGTCTTGAAATACAACAAATCACTGATTCTGAATAAGAACGTGGTCACCTACAAAGGATCCCTGTTAAATAATTTGTCCCTTACTGGCATTTCCTTTTCTCAGGCTTCCCTGTTTCTCAGAGAAATTGCCTTAAAAATATAGCTAACGACTTATAAAAAATTCTTCTTTAAGCCTCCAAACATTTCAGAAATAGTACATTCTTCATCAAATTACTCTGACCCAATTGCTCTGATGATCTTTTCTTTTCATCTCAATGGCAGACAACTATGAGTTTATCATGCAATTATATGGATACATACAATTATGGAAAAAGCGGCGATGTGAATACAGAGGTAGATTATACAATAGGTGTGAGATCAGGGATTGTCCATAAACAAATTGTCCAGCTTTTGGAGAATTTGATGGTAAGAAAGCTTAAGTAATTATCAGGTACTACAAAGCCATGGTGGCAGACACCAAGCCCAAATGTCAGCATATTTTCCTTTAAGTCTCAGTTTAAAAATAAATTTGATCAATAACCAAGAGCAAGGAATGGGCACATGTATATAAAAAGTTAAAATGATATCTTGACATTTCTTTTTTATATGATGAAGATATCATTAGCCAACTGCCATAAAATAATGCATTGCGCTATCTATATGAGGGGACAGCCCTATGTGGCTTTGACTCTGAAGGTCTTAAGAGTGAACTATCACACAAAGTTTTGAAAATTTCTAATTAAAGTGAAATAAATATCAGACATTCTTACACTATTCTAATTTGCACATGGTGGTAGCATCAAAAATGTTACCTTAATACTATATAAACTATTGTATATTTATAATATGAAAGTCCATAATATTCAGAAAACATTAGTAATTAAAACTAAATTACAAACCATTCTGATTTAGGAAAATATAAAGATTATAAATTACCATCTTAAATTAACCTTAAAGTGGGAAAATGCTGTTTTTTCTAGGTCTCTGGAAGGCTCATTTTAATAAATTCCCAAAACAAAGTTAGAAGGAAGTTCCAAGACCACCATCAATTCTGATACCAACTACAGGTTCAGGATCTTCAAGACCATTTTTAGGTTTGATAATTTGTTAGAAAGATTCACAGAAATCACTGAAAGTTGTTATACTGATCATTAAAGTTTATTGCAGATAAAAAATACAGGTTAAAATCAATCATGAGAAGAAAAGCATGGGACGAATCCATAAAAGTTCCCTATTCAGAGCTTCCCACTGTCCTCTTCCAGTGGAGTCATGGACAGCCTAACTTTTTGCAACAATGATGTGTGACAATATACATAGAGTATTGACAGCAAGGGAAGCTCATCTGAGCTTTGCGTCTATTTGAGTTTTTATTAGGGCTTCTGCACATGGACATAGTTCACTGCCCATGTGGCTGACCTTTAATCTCCTGATCAAGCTGACACCATGTGGCCCAAAGTCCTCATTATAAATCACATCATCAGACTATCTTGTGTGGCCCAAGGACCCCAGGTAAAAAAAAAAAAAAAAGACACTTTTTGAAAATAATTTCAACTTTTGTTTTAGATTTACAGGTACATGTGCAGGTTTGTTACATGCATATGTTACATGATGCTGAGGTTTGGGGTGTGATTGATCCCACCACACAGGTACTCGATAGTTCATTCTTCACCCCTTGTCCCCCTTCCTACCTCCCCCATCTAGTAGTCCCCAGTTTCTATTATTACCATCTTTAGGTCCATATGTTACCCAATGTTTAGCTCCCACTTGTGAGAACATGTTGTATTTTGTTTTCTGTTCCTGCATTAATTTGTTTAGCATAATGGTCTCCAGCTTCTCTTATGTTGTTGCAAAGGACATCATTTTGTTTCATTCTATGGCTGTGTAGTATTCCATAATTTATATGTACCACATTTTCTCAAGGCAATCCACCATTGATGGGCACCTAGGTTGATTTCATGTCTTTTTATTGTGAAAAGTGCTGCAATGAACATGTGAGTACATGTATCTTTTTTAGTAGAACAATTTATTTTCTTTTGGATATACACCAAGTAATGAGATTGCTGGGTCACAGGATAGTTCTAAGTTCTTTGAGAAATCTCCAAACTGCTTTGCACAGTGGCTGAACTAATTTACATTCTTACCAACAGCGTGTAAGCATTCTCTTTTCTCCACAGCCTCACTAGCATCTGTAGTTTTTAGAGTTTTTAGTAATAGGCATTTCAGACTGGTGTCAGATGGTATCTCATTGTGGTTTTGATTTGCATTTCTCTGATGATTAGTGACATGCAACATTTTTTCATATGTTTCTTGGCCACTTCTATGTCTTCTTTGGAGAAGTATCTGTTCATGTCTTCTGCCCATTTTAATGGGATTGTTTTTTGCTTGTTGAATTAAATTATTTAAGTTTCTCTTTTTTTTTTGAGAACAGAGTTTTGCTCTTGTTGCGCAGGCTGGAGTACAGTGGTGCAATCTCAGCTCACCACAACCTCCACCTCATGGGTTCAAGCAATTCTCCTGCCTCAGCCTCCAGAATAGCTGGGATTACAGGTGCTTGCCACCATGCCTGGCTAATTTTTTGTATTTTTAGTAGAGATGATGTTTAGCCATGTTGGGCAGGCTGGTCTCGAACTCCTGACTTCAGGTGATCTGCCCACTTCAGCCTCCCAAAGTGCTGGGATTACAGGCGTGAGGCACCGTGCCCAGCCTTATGTTTCTTATAGATTCTAGATGTTAGGCCTTTGTCATATTCCTAGTTTGTTAATATGTTCTATTCTGTAGGTTGTCTGTTTACTCTGTTGATAGGAGCTTTTGTCATGCAGAAGCTCTTTAATTTAATTAGGTTCCACCTGTCAATTTTTGATTTTGTTGCAATTGCTTTTGAGGACTTAATCATAAATTCTTTACCAAGGCCAAATCCAGAATGGTGTTTATAGGTTCTATTCTAAAATTTTTACAGTTTGAGGTCTTACATTTAAATATGTAATCCATCTTGAGTTAATTTTTGTATATGTCAAAAGGTAGGGATCCTTTTATCAAAAGTTTTTTATCAAAAGTTTTTTACTGCATCTATTGAGATAATGATATGGCTTTTGTTTTGAATTTTGTTTATGCAGTGAAGAACATTTATTGATTTTTGTATGTCGAACCAACCTTGCATCCCAAGAATAAAGCCTACTTGATCATGGTGAATTGGCTTTTAATGTGCTGCTGAATTTGGTTTGCTAGTATTTTGTTGAGGATTTTTGTGTCTATGTTCATCTGGGATATTGGCCTGTGATTTTCTTTTTTCATTGTGTCTCTGCCAGGTTTTAGTATCTAGATGATGCTGGCTTTGCAGATTGAGTTAGGGACTCCTCCTCGATTTTTGGGGATAGTATCAATAGAATTGGTGCCAGCGCTTCTTTGTATGTCTGGTAGAATTCAGCTGTGAATCCATCTGGACCAGGGCTTTTTTTTTTGGTTGGCAGGTTTTCTATTACTAATTTATTTTTGGAATTTGATATTGGTCTGTCAGAGGTTCAGTTTCTTCCCAATTCACTCTTGGGATATTGTTTGTTTCCAGGAATTTATCCATTTCCTCTAGATTTTCTAATTTATGTTCATAAAGATGTTTATAACAGTCTCTGATAATCTTTTATATTTCTGTGGGATCCACTGTAATGACACCTTGTGTATTTCTAAATGTGCTTATTTGAATCTTCTCTTTTTCTTGTGAATCTAGCTAGTGTTCTATTGATCTTGTTTATCCTTTTAAAAGTCAACTTTTGGTTTTGTTGATTCTTTGTATAGATTTTGGGGTCTTAATTTTGTTCAGTTATGCTCTGCTTTTAGTCATTCGGTTTCTTCTTAGAGTTTTGGAGTTAGTTTACTCTTGTTTTTCTAGTTCCTCTAGGTATCATGTTAGATTGTTAACTTGAGTTCTTTCTAACTTCTTGAGGTAGACATTTAGCACTATAAACTTTCTCTTAACACTGCTTTCACTGTATACCAGATATTTTTGTATGTTGTGTCTTTGTTTTCATTTATTTCATAGAATTTTTTTCATTACTGCCATAATTTTGTTGTTTACCCAACAGTCATTCAGAAGCAAGTTGTTTAATTTCTATGTAATAGTAGGGTTTTGAGAGGTCTCCTTGGGATTGATTTCTACTTTTATTTTACTGTGGTCCAAAACTATGGCTTGAATTATTTTGATTTTTTGAATTTATTGAGACTTACTTTATAACCAAGCATGTGTTCAATCTTTTATTGTGTTCTGTGTGCAGATGAGAAGACTGTATATTCTGTGGATGAGGGGTGGGGGGTATTCTGTAGATGTCTACTTGTTCAAATTAATCAAGTGTCAAATTTAATTGCAGAATTTCTTTGTTAATTTTCTGCGTTGATTATCTGTCTGGTGCTCTCAGTGGGGTGTCAAAGCCCCCAACTGTTATTGTGTGGCTTTTTAAGTCTTTTCTTAGATCTATAAGTATTTGTTTTTGAATCTGTGTGCTCCAATGCTGGATGCACAAATATTTAGGATAGTTAAGTCTTCTGGTTGAATTGAACCCTTTGTCATTATGTAATGCCCTTCTTTGTCCTTTTTTACTGCTGTTGGTTTAAAATCTGTTTTATTTGATACAAGAATGGCAACAACTACTTTTTGTTTTGTTTTGTTTTCAGTTTGCCTGGTATAGCCTTCTCCAACCCTTTACTTTGAGTCTATGGGTATCATTACATGTAAGATTACTCTCTTGAAGACAACAGACAGATAGGTCTTCTTTTATCCTACTTGCCACTCTGTGCCTTTTAAGTGGGGGCATTTAGACCATTTACATTGACAGTTACTATTGATATGTAAGGTTTTGATCCTACCATGAGGTTGTTAACTGGTTTCTTTGTAGTTTCTAGTGTATGGTTTCTTTATAGGGTCCTTGACTAAGGTACTTAAATCTGTCTTTGCAGTAGTAGATATCATTCTTTCATTTCCATGTTTAGAATTCCCTCCAGGATCTCTTGTAACATTGGTCTAGTGGTAAAGAATTTCCTTAACACCTGATTGTTGGTAAAAAAAATAAAATAAAAAATTATTTCTCCTTCGCTTATGAGGCTTAGTTTGGCAGGATACAAAACTCTTGGTTGTAGTTTCTTTTATTTAAGAATGCTGAAAATAGACCATTTATCCCGGCTTGTAAGGTTTCTGATGAGATGTCTGCTATCAGCCTGATGGGGTTCCCTTTATACATGATGTGATCTGAACTTTTTCTTTAGCTGCCTTTAAGGTTTTTTTTCTTTGGTGTTGACATAGCAAAGACTGGTGACTTTATGACTTGGTGATGTTCATTTTATATCATGTCTCACAGGTATTCTCTGGATTCTTGTATCTGGATGTCTAACCTGCTAGCAAAATTGGGGAAATTTTATTGAATTATTATCTCAAATATGTTTTCCAGGTAGTTTACTTTTTCTTTTTCTCTCAGGAATGCCAATAATTTATGGGTTTGGTTGCTTTACATAATCCCATGTTTTTCAACAACTTTGTTGGTTTTATAAAATTATTTTTATTTTATTTCTATCTGACTTGTTAGTTTAAAAGACTGGTCTTCAAGCTCTGAAATTCTTCCTTCTGCTTGATGCAGTTTATTGATAAAGCTTTTAATTGTATTTTGAAATTCCATAGAGAGTTTTTCAATTCCAGAGGCTCTCATTAATTTTTTTAAGATGTTCATCTATCCCTTCATTTCCTGGATTGCTTTAGAATTTTCTATGTGTTGATTTTCAACCTTGTCTTGTATCTCATTGAGCATCCTTGCAATCCATGCTTTGAATTCTTGGTCTGACCTTCCTGAGTTTCCATTTTGGTTAGGGACCATTGCTGAAGAGCTATTGTCATCCTTTGTGGTGTCACTACATTCAGGCTTTTATGATGCCAGAATTCTTGCACTGGTTACTTTTCATCTAGAGATGCCGACACTTGAAATTTTTGTAAATATTTTATGTGAGTGGGATTTTTTTTCTTTCTATTTCCATCCCTATAATTTTTTTTTCCTTTCCCTTTCCTTCTCTCTCCAATCCCTAGGGTGTGTGACTATAGAGGATGCTGGATAGGGTCTTTTGGCTTTGTTTCTATAGCCCAATGCACTTTTGTCTACTGGTTTTATATTAGGCTGTGCAGTTTGACCTACAAGCCAGTAGATGGTGTCTATAGGTAACAGTAGGCTATGGCTGGGTATGTAATTGTTCCATGCTTTCTACGGGAAGCACTCTGTTGCCTTAGTCAATGGGCTGATTCATGGAGTGCACAGTGGTCTACTCAGCCCCAAGGTGTGTGTGGGCCAAGATGGACAGAGCTGGACCAGGCAAGTCCACCTACAGGTCCCTGGTAACAAGCACAGGTACCAGTGCCAAGAGAAAATCCAGTGGGTGGCCACCAAGCATCAAGATGTGTGCTTAGGCATGGAGCTGGGAAACCATCTTGGCCCCGAGTTCTCTGCACAGGGATGAGGGTGACCTAAACTCTTAATACAGAAGAGTGTGTGCTCCAAGAGTCTGAAGATCTGCCTAGGCATGGAGTGGAGAAGGCCCACCTACACCACGATCTATATCCAGGAATGGTGGAGTGGCTCAGACTGCTGATCCAGGTGAGCAGGCGCTCCAAATGACTGGAGACCCACCTGGGCATGAAGGAGAGAGGGCCTCCTGGCACCAGGATCTCTGCACAGGAAATGTGGGGCAGCTCAGGCTGCTGAAACAGGCAACAGGAGATCCAAGATACTCTTATCTGGCAGGACATTCCAAGGACCTAGAGATTATCTCTCGGGAGCTGAAGGCGAAAGCCAGACCTTTCTTTGGGTAAGGTTTCTTCTTTACTACACAGTCAGGAAGACTTGTTTTTCTTCTGATCCTGCTATTACTCTTGCCTTTACTGTTTCAGAGCAAATTTAAAGTTTTGTTTACTTACTTTTTAAAAAGCATTTTAAAATTAAACATACCTATTATGAAGGAAGAATTTATCAAAATATTATCCATGTTCCTATCTTATTTTTCACAAATTCTAAATTAGTGACACCCATATCAATTAAGTTTTGCTATGTTTTCAAATGGGTTAGCATATTTACAATTCTAAAGACACCATCTAATAGTGTAACTGTCTGCGGCGGAGATATTGTAACAAGTGAGTAGTGAAGAAACAGAAGCTAGGGTTTCACGTTTTTTATCAAAAAGTAAGGATACATTATGGAGAATGTACAGCTCAAATTTGCCTAAAAGACAATGAAGGTCTTAACAAAGAATGTGTATATAAGAAACTATCCCATATAAATTCACATTTATCATGATGGTATTAGTTCAAAACAATGACTTATTTTTTGTTCATATACATACAACTTTGATATCTCCATATGCATGGATTAACATTTTAAATATTACCTTTCTACAGAAGAATATTATGTGTAATAGTTCCTAATACTGATCATTTAAAGCCATGACAAATAGGTCTAAATAACTATTGTATATATTTATAAATGTATGCTAATAGACAGTTCATTGAAGTAACTGATATAAAATGAACTAAGAGTAACTCCAGTCAAAAGAAATCAAGGACTAGAGACCTTAATGCACCAATTCCTTTGACAGAAGAACCTAGACAGGAAGTAACATTATCATTGTAACACTGTGTTCTTCATACATATTTTATGAACTAAAATTTTCACATACTTTATAGAGTTTAGCAGAGCATTACATTTTTGTCTACTGCCTAACAGAATGAAATGCCCTAAAAGCATTTATTAAAGCCAGAGGAGGAAACAAATGTGATTACTGTTAACCTCTGACTGTAACTTATAAAGCCTTTCATAAAACAAGCATCAAAGTGCACCCCAATCACAAAGTGAAATACAAGCTGTTCTGTCACGTTTAACAGTCACTGTTATTTAGCATTTAAACACTAACATTAAATAGGTCTGTGTCAGCTTAAACCACGATGTCTATGTTCCAATTTCCAACTTTCAGAGTCCAAATATATTAATATATTAGAATTACCAGGCTTATAAAGGGTTATTGTCTAGGAAATACTGAGTGTTTTCGTTTGTTAACTTAATGTATGTAGCATTCCCTATGTGTAAAGTGCTGTAGAATACTGGCTTCTCAAATTTCACCAACACAACCTCTGCCAAGATAACTCTGAGTTTTTCGCTCACCATGGTAAAGAAGAATACCAACATGGCAAAGTTTTCTTAGTGTCTCAGAGGGAAAAAGGCAAGGTCAGAATTTATCAAGAATTTGAAGTTTGGTTTAAGCTGGATCTTTCAATGTGGGGGATTGATTAGAATCATGTAAGGTCATAAATCACAGTTTAGAATTACTGAAAACAGCAGGGTGAGAATTTTGAAACTAAGGCTTTGGAGAATTTTAGAGTTTAACCAGGAGGGTGCTTCTCTTCTGAAGAATTGACCAGACTTTCAGGAAGTTTCCCTTAGCAAAAGTGTCCTGGAATGGTAAGGTTATGCTACTGAAGGAAATGGAAAAATAAAGTCATGTTAAGTAGACAGTAAACTGCGTTGGGGGTGGGTAATTTTGGTTGTCAGTGTCCTACGATTTACTGAGAAAGGTAACAAAAATAATGCATTCCTAAGTCTATGTCTTCAAAGAAGTGTCTCTAAAATGAAATTATAGCCTAAAAATTATAGTCAGGTAAAACCAACTTAGATGTATGATGTAAAAATTGAGACCTGCACAACAGGTAAATTAGACAGAGGCAGCTAATACTTATAATTAATATACATCAGCAAAAATATTGAGTGAAATTATATTTGATAACAAATGTCTTTGTGCTTTTAAAAATAGAATCTGACTATATTACTCAGTAGAGCACATATCATTAGCAATTTATTGATTGCATAAAATGATGTTCAAAATGTCCTGCTGTACAGAAGCAGAAATAAAAAGGAAAGTCAGGTAAAATTCACTGACAGTGTTTAATAAAGAAAATGACTATTAAGAGAGTTTTGAAAATAAAATGGGGAAGATGATGTATTTAAAAGGACAGAGTAAATTACATAATATATGATGCAAAGGCTTTATGCTTGCAGGGAAGGGCAGACACCAGTGAATATAAAGAACGCATTTAAATGGCTGGGCACGGTGGCTCACACCTGTAATCCCAACATTTTGGGAGGCCGAGGCAGGTGGATCACCTGAGGTCAGGAGTTCAAGACCAGCCTGGCCACCATGGTGAAAGCCAGACTCTACTAAAAATACAAAATTAGCTTGTGTGGTGCTGCATGCCTGTAATCCCAACTACTTGGGAGGCTGAAGGCATGAGGATCACCTGAACCCAGGAGGTGGAGGTTGCAGTGAACTGAGATTGCACCACTGCGCTCCAGCCTGGGCAACAGAGTGAGACTCTGTCAAAAAAAAATGCATTTATATGTGGGAAGGGGAAATCAAGAGATTGATATTTTGAAGTGTACATTTAGGAATTTTAACCTAGATCATTATATAGCTGGTAGGAGCTTTTAGGGACATAGTAAAGCAAATACTATAATGGAAAGATAGAAGTCCTCTCAGGCTTCCTCTCTTTCTACCTGCTAAAGAAAATTCCATTTAAGGATCACCTGGACCTTTCTTAGTTCAGATAAGAGATGTGTAAGTGGAGAAAAGGAATGGGGAAATGGCCAAGCTTTAATTTTATTTACATAAAAAGAATTTAAAAATGCATACAGGAGGAAAGAAAATGTACTGAAGGCAGGAAAAGATCTATTGACAGAGAAGAGAGGGAAAGGCACCTTAGTCAATTTGGGCTGCTATAAAAAAGTACTGTAGACTGGGTGGCTTGTAAACAAGAGAAATTTATTCTTCATAGTTTTGCAGGCTGGAAGTCCAAGATCACAGTGTCAGAATGGGTCAGGTTCTGGTGAGGACCCTCTTCCTAGCTGGGGGTGGGTAATTTTGGTTGTCAGTGTCCTACGAGTTGTTGAGAAAGGTAACAAAAATAATGCCCTCTTAAGTCTATGTCATCTTTATACTGTATTCTCACATGGCAGAGAGCAGAGAGGGAGGAAAGTAGGCTCTCTTGTGTATAAATAAGAACACGAATTTTATTCATGAGGGCTCAACTCCCATGACCTGATTACCTCCCAATGCCTTACCTCCTAATACCATCACATTGGGGGTTAGGATTTTAACATATACATTTTGGAGGCACACAAATATTTATTTCACAGGGAAAGAAAAAGGGGAAAACAGGGAGACAGGCAGCAACAAATAGGGAAGAACTTAGATGCAGCAGGTACAAATTTCAGAAGAGTTGTTAAAGAGCCACTATTTTGGTAAGTGTGACTTGGGGAAAAATGCCTAATCATGATTTTAGGCAGTTTTGCTATGTGATATGTAGTGCTTTTTTAGCTCCATATTAACCCCAGGCCCGTATAATGGATGCATATCAATGCCAAGATAGGTCTTAAAGAAAGAACAATTTTCATGCAATGAATGGACAAAGAAAATCCCAATACACTTTTATTGAGCTATTGAGGGAAATGAAATCCCCAACAAACAAAACCCCACACTCTCCAAGTTTTGGGCAAAGAAGAGCTTCTGAAAAAACATTTCTGGATGATAAAGTTGGGAGGTCGGGAGAAAAGAGCTAATCTATTGAGCGTACACTGTGTGCCAAACACAATATTTTTTATTCCATTGTACTATTATCACAGTACCATGAAGTGAGTATTAATATTACCTTAATATATATGAGGAAACTGAACTCCCTAGTCATGTAGCCACTACATTATGCAACCTCAACTTTTCTTAAGTTGATTAACTTCTCGTAGAGACTAAACTTTGTAATAGGACAGAGGCAGGGCAATGGTGGTCGCTCTTCCTTTGAGTGTTTAATTCATTACCCTTAACTTATGAGAATGTGTCAACTGGCTTAGTATACCTGTCTGACCTTCAAGCAACTTCTCTCACTAAAAGCCATGAGTAGCAGAAGAACAGTCAATCGACAGATGTGTGGAAATAAGATTCAATTTGGAGGGGGAAATATTTTCTAGTCTCTGTCTACAAGTTTTTTCCCCACATCCTTCTCCCTAACTTAAACCTCCAGGTAGCTATTATACTCGATCTGGCAGAAAAACTGCAAGGTAATGCTCACCTAGAGCACTGATAACACATCAAAGTGAAAAAGAAAAGCTCAAGGAGGAAAAAAGTGCAAAAGTCACACTGAACCACAGTTTGAAAAAAGACTGTGCTGATAAGGAATTCTAGAAAATGCAAAACACTACTAGTGATCACAAATCAAACTGTATTAGGATAAGGTAGAAGGAGCACTCAATTTTAATAATGAAATGCAACTTTGGATACAATTGACAGAATTATACATATATTAGTGGGACTTACATGTACTCATTATGAAAAAAAAACAAAGTCCACACTTTATTAAATTTAGTCATAACCCAATTTGTCTTTTCTGTAAATAACATAAGTAATTTTATAAATTAAATGCATGCTATTTTTTTAATAAAAAATGTACACTAGAATGATCACTAAATTTCTTAAAAGTCACCTATATAGCATTGCTGTATGCTATCTTCTACTCCCTGGAGATACCACGTAGGAAGAGCTACATTAATTTAAACAAATAACGGGTGGGAGAAAGACACCGTGGTTGAAGCATAAGGAAAAAGAGAAAATGACATAATCGCTGAGGATGTGAATAGGGATCATATTACGTAGACTTTTGTGGACCATTGTAAGAGTTTTTGAACTTTATTGTAAGAGCAACAGAAAGACATAGAGGTTTAATCAAAAGAGTAACAATATTAGGCTTGTCTTTGGAAGATCATTCTGTCTGCTGTATGAATAATGAATCAGAAGGAGGTAAAAGTGTGTTTTTTGTGTGTGTGAAGCATTTACAGGACAATTGCAGAGTGCCAGAGAAAGGTGAGATTGCATTGAACTAGAGATGTGCCAGTGGAAATGGATAGAAAATAAGAGCTAAAAAAGTTAATTAGAAGTTGGAATTCACTATATTTAGTGGTTCTGTGGATGTGCAGGTAAGAGAAGTGCTAAGAATGTTTTTGGCAGGAACAATTAGATGGACCGTGCTACAATATGACGAGTAAGAAAATACTGAGAGAAAGGTATTCATTCAGTTTTCAGTATGTTGAGTTTGAGATACCTGAAAGTTATCCAAATACAGATATAATATAGGTTGAGAAATATGATTGTGTATTCAGAGGAAAGGTAGAAGCTAGAGATAGGAACTTGGAAACCATCGTCATACAGACAGAAATTGAACTCATGTGACTAAATGAAAGAACCCATGGAGAGAAAATAGAATGAAAAGAAAAAAGGGCCAACTATAACCCTGAGAAAATCCAGAACTCAGATTTAGGGTAGAGGAGATTTCAGCAAGAGTTATTTATGAAAAAGGAACCAGAGGCACAAGAGGAAAACAGGGATCACGGAATCCAATGTGGGACACAGACTACGTATTTTTCATATGTTGTTTCTATTCTTTATATTATCTAAGAGTCAGTGAAAAAAAAAACAGATAAATGTAGACTCATGAAAATATTTACTTTGGAGAGAAATTAAGCCTAAGGATCTTCTAATAAGGTAGATTCACCATTAAGACAGTCCACATCACCTTAAGTACCCAACATCCTGAGTAAGAGCATAACCCAGAAAAATTTGAGTGGCAGATGTCAACATCAGTCATTAGTACCATAATATGTAACCAGTTCCTTACTAAAAACATGAATTTTATTAGCTTAAACAGCATAATATAGACTTATTTGTTTATCAAATATACTAAAAAACAATAGGAACTTTTTTTTTACTTTTTTTCCTTTTAACACCTTAGCTACCAAAGCTAAAAATAATTTGTTTTTTTAAAAAAATTAAATTGTAGTTTTTAAGCATTTTAATTATCTTCCACCAATGGTTTTAATAATTATCAAAATCATACTTTGAGGATGGGTATAGTGAAATCTATGAAAATATGATAATGCAAAGAAAACAGCAAAATGCTACTGGAGCTCAGTGCAGCAGAATCCGAGACAGCAGAATGCTGTCTTTATATAATTAAAGGAGAGAAATCTTTACTTGAGGGTTTAGGACTAGATGAAAAATAATAATGAGTCTTCATCTCAGCTTCTTAGCTATAAATCAGAAGTAATATCACCTACAAGACAGGGCTAGGAGGGTCAAAATAAATAATACCTGTAAAATTGCATAGTTAGTACCAGGCTCACAGAAAACACTCTGTAAATATTCATTTCATAAAAAGTCAAATTCCAATGAAGGAAAAAAGATGATGCTATTGGCAAATAAAGAAAATAGTGAATGAAAAATACCTGACCTTTTAAAATTCAGTCTTCACTAGAGATCTTTGGGGAGACAACTTAATATGGTGGGTAACAGCCATAACACTGGCATCAGACTGCTAGGGTTCAAATCTCAGCTCTATCATTTACTAGCATGGGATCTGGCTAAGTAGGTTAACCAGTCACTCCCTCAATTTACTTATTCATAAAATGGTAATAACAACATTATCTACTTCATTGGAATCTTGTGAGGATTACATGAGTTAACATATGTAATGTAAGTATATGTGAAGTCAATAGTTATAAAGCACTAAAAACAATCCTACCCAGGGTGAGCTCTCAAAGAGTGTGACCTTTTGTTATCTGTATGTGTGAGCCAGCTATTCTGTGGCAGGATATAAGGATTAATTTCTGCATTGGTCTTGCTGGTGTAGGAGCAAAAGAATAACAAATATTCTCTTTTACCTTCATCTTAGAAGCTTAGCTGAGTTTTGTGTTCAAGGTCTAAGGTCGTTATTAATCCCTTTTAGGAAAATTTTAAGTTGCCTTCACATTCATCAGTACAATTGAAGAAAAAACTCACTGAGTTCTTTGATAAGAAGGTTGAGTACACAAAGAAATTAAAATAGGCATCTCTAGAAAGAGACTGGGAAATGTCTAGTGTTTAGATGGTTAGAAGGGAGTGTAATGACCTGAACAGAGACTGGGCTTCCTGAAGATCTGGGAAACAGGGAGGGTCGACAAAAGCCATGCATGTGTCTTTGATGCATGCAGCAGCCCAGATGGGGAAAGAGTTGATGGATGACTTAGAAGTTGAACACCATGAGCCAGGTCAATAGCAGTTTTCCCTTCTGGTCAGGTTTGTTGTTTGATCCAACTGCCCTAAGCTACTACAACCAGATCTGAACACATCAATGCCCCACAAATTTTAGAGGATTCATGTTCACCTGTGGCACTAGTGGTTAAAATAATAATTAACATGACTGTTGCCATATGGGGGCACGTAAACCCTGAGATGCTCTTACAAGCCAATGGGAATGTAGGAGCCAGTACTAAGTCACATAGTATGTCTTAACAACACTGCTGTGTGAGGACTTAGGACCAGCTTTAATTTTATGTAGACAAAAAAATCTTTAAATTACCTTTATAATATCTGTATTTTGTGAAGGGTGATTTCAAACAAATAAAGTTCTGTTATGAATGTGGGGTATGCTATCGCATTGATCTAGTTGAGGTCACTCTAACTTTGTTCTAAACTAATTTGACACTGACTGTTTTGCAAGCCTTTGCAAGCCTTTTGGAAGTTGCATCTAAGGATATATTGAATTTGATGAAAATGGTGCAATGTCACACACTTTCTGACAGAGAATTTCTTTTTTACCCTAAGTATGTAACATACAAATTAAGAGACAAGATATATTTATCTTAGTAATTAGCTATATGTTATGAATTGAATTTGTTATAAAGATCATGTTACTAAGGAACAAGGCTATAACATATAATCTGATGCCTATATTGAGCTTTAAGAAATCTAAGGACCTCTATAAACACAATAAACAGATAAATACACAAATAATAAGTCTCCAGAATCTATCTTTAGGTTAGAAGGTACCATGATGCATGAACATCATATCCGGTCCCTATGTCAGATTTTGCCCCATAGTGGACAGAAATGAATCCACCAGATTCGTAACATCAGTTATTAACTATATTCAAATCATTGCCTTTGCATGATGCTACGCTTGCCTGTCAGCTTTTAATTAGATTTTGCTTCCCAGGAAGATTGGTTTGTAGGTAGTAAATATGCCAGGTCATGAAGGCAGATATATTTCTCATGATAAATTAACATATTGGGCAATTAGGGTATGTGTGTGTTATGATGGAACTAGGAAAAGTAAAAATATATGTAAAGGGGGAGAAGGACAAAACCAGAAATTAGAGTCCCCTCAAAAGTGGCCATCGTGACAATCTTAACAAATACTTTTTCCCTCATACTCAAATCCTTAGTTCTCATAATTAGTTCATTCATCATTAGAAATGCAACAGTCCAAAGTTAGAAATAGCACAACAGAAACATGTTCTGATTTACTCTATCAGTTTGCAAAACAAACCCATTTGAGATTTCAGCTAGAAACTATTTACTGAGGGAAATCTGCAATTCTGCAATACGAGTTAAATCTCTACTTACATAATTTTCCATTGACACTGTTAAAATGTGCTCAAGAAGACAAGAAGTCCAGCCAAGTGGGAGAGTTTTAAGTCACTGAAGTAATGCAAATTAAAGTTCTGATTCCTAAAACAGAAAAATGCTGGTGGGAAGTTTAAGACTGTTCTAACCTCTATTCCCTGCAATCTTCTAAGGATGGGTGCACTTTGAGACTTCAAACCTAACTGTGAATGATGCTTCAAAGTTAAAGTAGGCAGCTAAGCCCAGACTTTTAATAATCATGCATGGTTAATATTTTGAAGTGAATTTAGTGATGTACAACTAGCAAGCTTTATTTAGACAAATTTTCCCCAATGTATTTACACAGTTATTTTTAAAGGATTGTACGAGTTTGTCAGACCAAACACTGACCTCATGCATAGTCTCAAAATATTTTGCCACTTTGGTCCTGTGTTTCAACCTCTTAGTATTATAATAATGCTGATATGTTATGCTAATTTTTGCTAAATTTTAATTAGATAATCCAAGTCATATTTTAAAAGTTAGAATTCTACCTTCTGGAAATCTTCAAATTGTTATAATCATTGAGAACATTTACTCTATTTGTGCACATTATATTATCACATCTTCATTTTTAGAATATTAAAGAGAAAAAATCTTTGCCATTAATCCTTTTGCTCATCACACCATTAGAAATAGAATACATTTTTCCCCTGCTTGGAATCCATAATTACATTTTCAGCCCCCAAATCCTACAGAAAATACTCTTTTGTTCTTCAAAGAGTTTACAAAAGGCAGAATCTAAGAGCTTGTCCCTGGCTGAGAAGAAAACAGGAAATGTTTTACTGGTTCTTTTCGTATTACTATCTGTGTACACTACATCACGTGTACCACCAATTGCTTCATACACATGCATGTCTCAGGCTAAAATACAAATCTATACATTTTCTGATGTACCCTAAACTTCAGGAGATTTCAATGGCACCCTGGAGTTGAACTTTACACACAATAGACTTTTCAAATATCTGTACCTTATCTTCTTGTCATTTGGATTAATGTAGTTAGTTTTAGTGTAAAGGTAAAGTGGCCTAGTTTCTGGGTCAAGGTAATATATTTTGAAAGCTTCCTCTTTTTGTATAAACCCAGAAATGATAAATAATTAAAATATTTTAAATACTTTTAAATATCTAGCTATGCTTGAAAGGAAAAAATATGTATCTGTAATTTAAGCAAAGTAGTATGTTCCCTTTTATGAGAGAGAGAAAAAAAAGAGAGAGAGAATGAATGGCAAGGAAGAAGAGAAGGAGAGAATAGATCAGACAAGGTGTGAAAAATTGAGAGAAGAAAAGAAAAAGAGAAGAAAAAAAAAAAGATTGCCTCACAAAATCGTCCCAATCCAAGGCACTCAAAGAAGAAATATTTTTTGGAAGTTAAGCTCATAAAATATAATAATCAAGCTTACGAGAAGCACCTGCACCATGAAAGTGGGTACTCAAAATCCAAAAATAAGAGATTTTACCATCTAAGAAACTAGAGATAAAATACATCTGCAAAGACCTTTAAAGTACATAGCTTTGAAAATCTTCATAAATAAAGGTGTAAGTAGTATCTACAAAATAAAATGGGAAGTTTAAGATATGAACAGACAATCATTAAATCATAGATTTAATATTTTAAAAGGCCCATTAGAGACCTTAGAAATTAAAAAAAAATGCTTATTGATATTTTAAAAGAAACAATGAATAAGCTAAATAATAATAATAAGCTAAATAATAATGAATAAACCAATGACTAGAAACATGAAACTGATGGAATATTAAAGTGATAGGACCAGAATAATAGAGATTGAAAGCTTAAACAAATTGAGGAAAAATAGAAACAGACTACATAATTCTATGCTCAGTGAAAAATCATCAAATAATGAAAAAAAATTTTCTAAATATTAAGTCTAAGAATGTTGTTACCTTAGACCCACTTTGAAAGAACTGCTAAATAACACAATTTGAAAAAAGAAAACCATAACCTGGAAGGAAGTTGTGAGATGCAAGAATCTAGAAGTGCCTGTAAGATTTCTACTTGTTAACTCTTACTTACTTCATTAATATAAAATGCCTTACTGCCAATGGGAACAAAATTAAGATAGTCTGGTTGAGCATCCCCTGCCACCGATTGTTGTAAAATTTAGGATGATTTTATTCTAGAACACAAAGGTCAAATTATCAATATTTTGAAACCTTGCTAGTTTGACGAACAGATTCCCAAAGATTGGTGGACCCCTCCTTTGTGCTTGTAGCTTCTAGCATGATTTCATCTAGCTATGAGTATGAGACATGTGTTCTATGAACAGAATTCCCATTGCATGGTTAAGCCTGAATGAGGACCTTGAAAAGCCCATCTCTGGTTTCTGTACCCTTTACAGACATCTGAAACTAACTCTTTCTATCAGAATAGCCTGTCAGGTGCAAGCTGACAAAACAAGTGCTCTGAGAGGCAAGAAACTGAAGATAATGACCTTTTCAGTTCTGGAATGGCAGAAGGAGAAGTATTATCTGCTGCTACTCCATCAACTGTTTAATATCCAATAAGTCGTACTGTGGCTGGTGTCAAAGCCTGAAGGATGCACAAAGCTACCAGTCAGTTGGGCAAATGAGCAAGATAGAAAATTGTAGGTTAAATGTTTGAAATGGGTACATGATATAGATGTTGACCAATCCTTCACATCACATTGAGTGGTCTGAACATTTTGGTTACAGTAATTTTGTCTTTTATTATTTGTTGTTAATCTGTAAGTACTTACTTCAGTTTTGCCAACTCATTATTATTTCTAAATAAACTATTTTGGAAGCAATGAACCAAAATAAGTGCATATGTTTATTGAAAACTTAAGTACCAAATCTCCATTTCTTAAGAAAGTTGATGATAAATGTATAAATTGCCTAAAATATGTGTCTACATTTGCCATCTATCATGGGAGTCAGAGAGATATCACTGGCCAAGTGAAAACCAGAAGACATAATCTACTAGAGAAATACTAGTATCTCCTTCAAAAGCAAATAGTGAATTTAAGAAGATTATCCACAAAGCCACTGACTTAACAAACATAGCTAAAGAGGGTGTACTTACATGTTACTTAACAAAATATGATTTTTCATTTAGACCATTTAGACTGCTTTTTAAAATTATTTTGCTTATTTGTGATTCCAAGTTTTCTTACACATATACAGAATGTACTGTGATAACTATAAATGTGTTGCCTCTACTAGTAGAAAACTAAATAACTGAATTATATCATAAATCAAAGTTGAAATTAGATAAGATTTAAACCTGCATGACAGTAAACATAAATACGAAAACTTGTGGATTGTAACTAAAAAGAAATTTATAAATTTAAGTGTACATATTAGCAAATCAAAAGTGTTCAAAGTTTTAAAAGTTTAAGCCAAATAAAAGAAGAAATAATAACATTAAGATAATAAATGAAATTGAAAACGTGGACTAATAAACTAATAGACTAATAGGCAAACTTCTAATAAAGTTGATCAAAGAAAAAAGTATGAGGGCACACACAAACAATATGTACATATAAAGATACAGTACAGATTTTTAACAACAGAAATTGAATGCATATTTTATGATATTAAATTTGAAAACTTGGAAAAACAGATACTTTTTTAGAAAGTATAACTCACCAACATTGACATAAGGAGAAATACAATATGTCAATAAACTTCCAACCATTAGCAAAAAAATCAAATTTGTAGTTAAAATCTTAAATGTACATAAACACACATGCACAAACCACCAGACCCAGATAGTTTTATAAGAAGGTAATAGAAAAAATTAAGGAACCTAAAACCAGTATCTTTTACAATTTGCTGCAAAGAACAGAAAAATAAATGTTAATTAAACTAATTTGGTGAGGCTAACATAACCTTGGTTAAAAAAAAAAAAAAAAGAGAAAAATCTTTGGGGAACTTTGTTCATGAACACAGAGCCAAATATGGCTTTCTCTATATATAGTATGTGGGTGCATGTATAAATTATGATTAATTGAAGAATTGAAGTTAACCAAAGAAACACATTAATAATACAATGTATTAAAAATGTTTAAACACATGAAATAATAATATATATTGTTTATGAATACATATATAGAGTAAAAATAGATAAGCTTGCAAGGGAATAATACAGGAATGTGTTCACCTCAAAGTGAATGGGATGAATAGAGAATGAAAGGATCAGGATGCTACTTTAGCAGTAGCTAATTTATTTTTCTTAAAGAGAAAACTTTGAAGCTAATATGGAAAATATTAGCATCTTTTAAAATTTTGATCGTATACTCATGGGTGTGTGTTGCTTTCTTTGCTTGAAATATTTAATAATTACATATATATCTATTTTCAATTTTTTTAAATGATACACTAACTATTGAAACTTCTTCATTGCCATGTGATTGGTCAGGTACACCAAAATATCACTCTCTGTACATCTCTTCTTTGAGATTTAGTTTCTCCCAACCTCCAGTCTCCTGCCTGGGGGTTTGTCTGGCTGCCAGTATATTTGAAACAAAACACCTGTTCTCAGCACACTACCTCAACCTCTCCTTCCAATATGTCTGGCTTCTTAGAGTACAGAATGCAATTGCTCCAAAATATACATCAACCAGTTTTTTTGAGGGCCGGGCTGGACTAATAACTTTACTCTGTGGAATAAAGTAGATATCCAGGGATTCTAATAGCTCTTTCAGGCTTCCAAATAGTCCCTCAACCCCCAGTTGTTGTCACATCATTTATTTCCATCTTTCCATTGACCTGGTTTCTTGAATTTCTGAGTTATTCTAGGGTTTGACAGATGAATCAATTGGCATTTACTAGCACCACTCCCGCACCCCCACCCTCCGCCTGCCCCCGATATGTTTTTAGGTTTCAGCCTCTTCCACTTTCAGGTACTTCTCACCCAACTATGAACTTCCAATCTTAAAAATATATACTGCCGGGCACGGTGGCTCACGCCTGTAATCCCAGCACTTTGGGAGGCCGAGGTGGGCGGATCACCTGAGGTCGGCAGTTTGAGACCAGCCTGACCAACAAGGAGAAACCCCGTCTCTATTAAAAGTACAAAATCAGCCAGATGTGGTGGTGCATGCCTGTAATCCCAGCTACTTGGAGGCTGAGGCAGGAGAATCGCTTGAACCCGGGAGGCGGAGGTTGCAGTGAGCCGAGATCGCGCCATTGCACTCCAGCCTGGGCAACAAGAGCGAAACTCAGTCTCAAAAAAATAAAAAATAAAAAAATAAAAATGCTGGTATCCTGCCAACACTCACCCACTGTTACCTGCCCCCTATCATTCCCTCTGCTCTTGTGGATGTGGATATTTTTAAAAATGTAATTACTGTTATTTTTTATTTTTATATAAAATATTTTTGTATAGTACTACTAGATGCAAAGTTAAGAGAACGTTCTGAAATAAATCTAATAATAGGGTGTTGGAGCACCAATAAAATGTTTGCCCTTAGCTAAGACTTACAGGCAAGCAATGCTTCAAAGTCATGCATCTTAATATGTTTTAAAGTAAAAGAAGTAATGTTCCCCAGCAGATACTTAAGTCTTTTAAGTTTTTAAAGAAGTTCTGTTTAAATTCATTTTCTTCATCCCATTGTTTGATTGTCTTACAGACAGTGAGTTGGCCATTTTAGTGAGGGGTCCAATATATGATTTTCTTGGGGATATCAGAGTTTCCTTTCAAAGGCTAGATTAGGAGTTTCAAACTTGTGGTCTGTAGATCTAACAAGTATTTTGTTTGGTTTTTGTGTTAACAATAAAAATGAATATGCATTTAGGTGAGATGTGTCCCGTCCTGTTCACAAGGGATCCCATACTCCTGACTGCTTCAGTCCCCCCCTTAATTTGCATATTTATGTTATCTTCCTGAACCCTATAGGTAATTTGAGTTCATAATCCCTGTATGGAATTCTCAGTAAACTGAACCAGAGCCTTTCAAATGAACCCAGCCCTCAACAATGATAGGAAAAACTGCTAAGCATCTACATTACAAAGAAATCTGAAGTGATATCTTCCTTTTACAGACACTAACAAAATATAAAAGAAAAGTATGGGTTCGGTAAGTTACACCACAACTGCTTTTTACGAGTACTTTAGACAGTATCAGAGAAACACAGATGCCCTTTGTTCTTAATCCAGATTAGTTGACGAATCAGCTTTAAATATTTAGATATGAGGAAAATACTCTCTTTTTGTTTGGGTGGAACCCTAAGAGTTTCAGTTAAAAGCTGATGCTTTCACCTTGAAATGCCTGTCATCTCCTTTCAGGAGCTGGAGGGGGGCTCCCTGAGGAAAAGCCTGGCCAACAAAGCAAAGCCCAGTGAACACTCAAGTTTTATGAGTTCTTAATGGCTTGAATCACTTGTAGGTGTTTTTAATACCTGCTGTCAGTTTGGAAATGTTTCTCGCTTGGCAACTGGATAAGGATAATAAACTTGCCAAGCAGGCAACTAACTATGCAATCTATTGTTAAAAATATAAAATCCAAAGAAATGGAAAAGCTGTTTAGGTCTGTAGTTTCCTCTCACTAGCACTTTTCAGCCGTAATATTTTTTAAAACCACTTCCTGAAGTTTATTCCCTTATTAAAAGGATTATCAGAGAAGAAATTATGTGGTAATAATCTGGTGCTCTTTCTAAACAACAAAAAGGAGCAATATATGTGAGAAGATATTTATATTATGTGCTTTTAATAACTGTTGCTAGTCACAAACACTTATTTTAATTAAGGAAAAGCTTAGCAGAAGTAGGTTGTGATAAGTAACTGTGGCTAACCTTTTTCTTTCCAGAAAAAAATATAAAGATAAATGTAAATTTTTGTTTCAGAAGAAAATAAGTAACTTCACTGACCACACAACTTCAATTCCCAGACTCAGGTTTTATCTTGTTGCTCCTGAAAATAAACTTCTGACTTTTCTTTTACATGCTAAAATATATCTTTTTAAAAATAATTGATATCCACTGAATAACAAAATGGTGCTTGAAAATGTTATAAAAATTGCAATTAATAAGACCTCTCCATCATTATTCAGGAATAGAGCTAAAATTTTTGAAAGACATTAACTCACCAGAGATAAGTACTCTGCATATTAAATAAGACCAAGGGTTGCGAAATTACTCAAAAAACAAAAAAAAAGCCTTGCAATCGAGCTTTGGCCTGGTAAATTTCATCAAAATCGTTCTTATTGTCATGCGGACTATTTCAATGTGAACAAACAGCAAATTCATTTTGACCAGTAATCTGTCAGTTTAGCTGTAATAGGTTAAAGGGTCACAATTCAATAGATTATAAACAGGAAATAATTTAGGAGTTACAACCTCATAGCCTATAGACCTAAGCAGTATTTTGTTTTGCCTGCAGTGATTGTAAGAAAATAGAATTTGAATTTAGGTGAGGCATACACTGTCTTAATCTTCACAGGTGCCAACATTCCTGTGGTAGACAGAATACTTAGTATTCTGTCTACCATCTTAGATGGTCCCAAAATTCTTACTCACTGAGGCATATCACCACTTGAACGTATCGTCTTCCTCTTCAGTGTGGCCAGGACCTGTAATTATGATGGATGTCACTTCCATGATTAGGTTGGATAGATTGCAAAGGTGAAGGGACTTTTGCAGGTGCATTTAGATTTCCTTATCAGTTGACTTTGACTTATTCAAAAAGACTTGATCCTAAGTGGGCCTGACCTAATCAGCTGTGCTCTTTGAAAGAGGGTCTTAGCCCTTCCTCAAGCAGCAGAAGTGCTTTCCTGCTGGCCTTGAAGAAGCAAACAGTTGAGTTGTAAACTACCTATGGAAAGGGCCTGCCTCTAAGAATTGAGGACCTGAATTCCGTAACTGTAAGAAACTAAATTCTACCAACAACCTGACTGATCTTGGAATAAGATCTTGAGTTTCCAGATTCCTGGCCTCCTGAAACTGAGATCATAAACATATGTCATTTTAAGCTGCTAAATGTGTGATAATTTGTACCTTAACAACAGAAAACTAATATATTTCTTAGTGCCTCAGCACCCACTGTAGTTCATACATATCCTCTTTCCCTTTCTTTTACAACCTAGAAAGATTCTATAATGTTCTGATCAGTTTCAGTTACTAAAACTTAGCCCTGTCCAGTTCATAATTTTAACTTCATATCCATTTACCTATTCCTCTTGGCCAGGCATAGTGGCTCAAGCCTGCAATCCCTGCACTTTGGGAGGCTAAGGCAGGAGGATTTCTTGAACCTAGGAGTTCAAGACCAGACTGGACAACATAGCAAGACCCCGTCTCTATTAAAAAAATTATTTTCTCATCCAGTACAGGTTACAGCTGTGGTGTTGTCTGGTTGGAGTGGTATGGACAGAATTTTGCTTTTTCCTCCAATTTCAGGGTCTAAGTTCCTATGTTGAGAGAAATAAATGGGAGCAGGGGACCCAGAGATATTATTATATGTGTGTATGTGGTGAATGATTTGACCTATTTCATCTGGCTTATTCAGTCTGCAAAAGTGTTGTGCATGCTTTTCACAGGACCATGCTCAGCTTCACTCTGGCCTCCTCTGTTGCTGAGGATCCCTCAGAGAGGGGCAGCTGGACTCCCTTGATCTCCTGCCAGTGGACTATTCCCCAAATGCCTTCTTCAGATGAAAAGGACTATTAGTGGTCATGGCACCTGACTGGGGAGTCCAAGAGCTCCCGTCCCTTCTCTATCCCCTACACTCCCACACCTGAGAGCTTTGGGTATGTAGAGGTTCTCTTCTGTGGTTTCTGAGGATTATGGAGAACTGGAAGGGACAAGGTTGTCCCCAACTCCTGCAAAATTATGCTACAGTCTTTTCAAGCCCTGATGGAAAGTCCCTTCAATTTTCCTGCCTTCTGAAATAAATATGAAGAAGCAAGTCTGTATGTTCACAAATGCCCTTTAATTTAATTTCAGGGGATTCATGTTAGCTTCTCACATACCAGGAGCAATATCAGTTTGGTCTACATAGTTTTAGCTCAATATTTTTTCATCCAGAAAATGAAAATAGAGCTTTCTTTCCTGTAAGCCTCTCCATACACTCACCAGTCTACACCAGTGTTTTGTAAACCCTCATCCATTCTAACATACAAGACACCTCTATTGCCTTCAGAAGAAGAACAACCTCTTACATTGAGAATTCTACTCCCCTCAGGGTTGGCTTCTCTTTGTTCTACCACTTTCCATCTTCTTTTCATATAGACTGGAAAATATTTGTTTAGGAGACAGGGAGTGGGTGTCCATGTGTGAGGTGAGTAAAACACATTTGGTTTGGGTCACATGTAAAGCCCTTTAGGGTGGAGTCTAGATTTAAATATTGTATATCAGTTGTACTTTTCTTTAGAGTTCAGAGTATAAGAGATATTTTTTCTCAAATGTGAGCTTTAGCTAAACTTCCTGAACTGCAGGAAAAGTCTCACAAAAGATCTCATTGCATAGTTAATTGTTTCAAAATGTTAAAACTAGCTATCTGAGAAGAGGAAATTGTAAAGCTTTAAAGGCCAGCAACATCCATGCTCTTTTTACCTCCTCCCACAAAATAAAATGTGCTTATTCACTATTAATAGTTAAAGCAAGCAGTCAAAAAATTTCTGTTCACTATCCTTCCTACTGGTACTATGAAAAATGAAAGAAAAAGAAAGAAACTCAGATTTTAAGTTTGATTTTTCATACATTAGACTCTCAGCCAGTGACAGCACCAACTGGACACAAAACCATCACAAAAAAACAAACTTCATTTCAAATAACTGTGGATATACCCCCTTGTTGATTTCAGGGCTCAGACCATCTTGTGTCTGTGATCACTTCTAGACAAGTCTCAGGTGTTGAGAGTATCTCCCACAGTTACAAATGAAACAAACAACAAACCTGCAAAGCTGCATGTCCACTCAGGAAAGTATACATTTTCAGTGTCAAGTCCTTTTTTAATTTATAAACTTTATGTTTAATACAACTTTTAGGTTCATAGCAAAATTAATCAGAAGGTACAGAGATTTCCCATGTACCCCTAACTCCCAATATGCAGAGCCTCCCCCATTATCAACATACCCCACCAAAGTGGTACATTTGTTCCAATTGATGAACATACATTGACACATCATTACTATCTAAAGTCTACAGTTTAAATTAGGGTACACTCTAGGTGTTGTATATTCTATGGGTTTTGACAAATATATAATGACATGTATCAACCATTGTAATATGGTATAGAAGAGTTTCATTGCCCTAAAATTCCACTGTGTTCTGCCTATTCAACCTGCCCTTTCCCCTAACCCCTGGCAACCACTAATTTATTTACTGTCTCCATAGTTTTACCTTTTCCAGAATGATATAGAGTTAGAATCAAACAGTATGTAGCCTTTTCACATTGGCTTCTTTCACTAAGTAACATGCATTTAATGTTCTTCCATGTTTTTTCAGGGCTAGATAGCTCATCCTTTTAGTGTGGAATAATATTCCATTGTCTGGATGTACCAGTCTATTTATCCACTCACCTACTGAAGGACATCTTGGTTAAAGTGCATTTCATAGCCCGGTATATGGTCTCCCTTGATCAATGTCCACGTAACCTTGAGAAGAATGTTTAATCTGTTGTTGGATGAAGTAGTCTACGGATGTCAATTAGATCCAGTTAATTGATGGTGCCATTGAGTTCAACTGTTTTACAGATTTTCTACCCACAGAATCTGTCCATTTCTGATAGAGAAGAATTAAAGTCTCCAAATATAATGGTAGATGTATCTATTTCTCCTTGCAGTACTATAAGTTTTTGTTTCACATGTCTGGGCGCTCTGTCATTAGGTGCATACACGTTAAGGATTGTTGTATCTTTTCTTGGAGTATTTACCCCTTTGTCATTATGCAATGGCCCTCTTTATGCCTAATAATGTCCTTTGCTCTGATGTCTGCTCTCTCTTGGATTAGTATAGTCAGCCCTCTGTATCCACATGCTCTGCATCCTTGAATTCAACCAACCAGGGGTCAAAAATATCCCCAAAAAGGGAATGTGATTGGAGGGATCATGGTGGATGGGAGGCAGGACTAGATTGCAGCTCTGGACAGAGCAGCATGTGGAGGCTTGCTTGTGAATTTTAGCTCCAGACTGACTGCAAGAACAAACCAGCAACCCTGAGAGGACCCACAGACCCTCAGAAGAAAGCAGACTGCTCCTGCAGGAGCCGGGAGACACTCCAAATACTGTAAGTGCTCTAACTGCAGAAGTGGGAAAGGGAGACTCTCCTCTCCTGAACACACACCCACACTGGAGAAGTTGAAGGTCTGTGGGAGAAGTTCCTGACTTTACCTGGAGCTGAGTCAAGTTACAGAGCTGAGCTGAGGAAAATACAGGGGCAGAGGAGGCAGCAGGGAGGCCACGGGAACTCACTGAATCCCCAAGCAACCCCATTCCTGCCTGGAACCACAGGGATCCATCAGGAAGGGGGCCAGAGGAGCAGGGGGTAAAACTCCATTGGGATAAGAACTTCCCAAGGTGAACTTTGTAATAATTTGAGTGGGGAGAGAAACCTCCTGGCCAGAACATGGGGAAGGATGCAAATCCGGCTTGCAGACTTCACAGGACGGGGAAGAACTAAAGCCCTTTTCTTTGGCAGCTGGGAAGCAGGAAGCCTCATGCAAGTTTTCAAACCTGACTCACCCTCTGCCTGGAAACAGACTCGGGGCTGTTGTGGCAGGGGAAGGGCGGGAGTGAGACCAGCCCTTCAGTTCGCATGGGAGCTGGATGAGGCCTGTGACTGCTAGCTTTCCCCCACTTCCCTAACAACCTGCATGAGTCATCAGAGGCAGCCATAATCCTAGGTACACAACTCCAGTGACCTGGGAATCTCACCCTATCCCCACAGCAGCATCAGCAAGACCCGCCCAAGGAGAGTCAGAGCTCAAACACGCCTAGTCCTGCCCCCACCTGATGGGCCTTCCCTATCCACCCTGGTAGCGGAAGACAAAGGACATATAATCTTGGGAGTTCTAGGGCCCTCACCACTGGTTCCTCCCCATACTAGTATAGCTGATGTTTTCTGGAAAGCGCCACCTGCTGGCAAGAGGCCAACCACCACAAAAATACAGTATTAAACCACCAAAGCCAAGAACCCTCATGGAGTCCATTGCACCCTCTGCCACCTCCACAAAACAGGCACTGGTATCCACGACTGAGAGACCCATAGATGATTCACATAACAGGACTCTGTACAGAAACCCCCAGTACCAACCCAGAGCCAGGTAGACTCACTGGATGGCTAGACCCAGAAGAGAGACAACAATCACTGCAGTTCAGCTCACAGGAAGCCACATCCACAGGAAAAGGGGGAAAGTGAGAGGAGGTACCAGTTGGGCTTCCTGGGCCAAGTAGGGGCTCAGAAAGCTGTGAAACTCACTCATTTCCTGCATCCGGACTTACTTCGGTCCTGGATGAATAATATTGAAGATATATGCTTAAAATATTCCTAACACCACGATTTGTGCATGTGTTTTCTTCCCCAAGAAAGCTATAAACAGCAAAAATTTTGCTGTTAGTGTCCCCGTGTCCTCTCTCCCTCTCTCCCTTCCCCCTCCCCTGAAACTAAAGTAGAGGGAATGTTAACTGCCCATTTTTCTGTGACCAGCAGACCTTATCTACACTCCCAATTCCAATTCTTTGTAAACATACTTTGTAAAGTCCCGTAAGATCCTGTCTCTTTTGCCATGCCGCTGTAAGGTCATAAAGTAGATAAAGCCTAAGTTGCAATTCTGATTTTCCTCAAAGTCTAAGACATATCACAAAACAATTTACTGCCTTTGTTTCTCACTCCTGTAACAAGCTTCCCGCCTCATGTATCTCCCAACTTAAAACGTTTGAAAGGCGAATACCCAAACTAGCAGTGGCAACCTGTTTGAGACCCCTTCCACACTGTGGAACCTTTGTACCCTTGCTCTGCTCAATGAAACCTACTGCTCACTCTCTCTCAGTCCAGGTCTCTATCATTTGCCATGGTCAGCCACCGCACCAATTCTTGGTGTGGCTAGGTTAAGAACCTTAGGTGTTACATTTGGGGAGCCAGCCAGAAGACTCCAGGAAATGCATCCCAATCACCACGAAGTGAGCACCATGGACCTCTTTCATTTGCTATTCTGTCCTGTCCTTCCTTAGAATTCAAAGGCTAAACACTGGGCACCTGTCTGCCATTTAAAGGGGATTAGTGTGGCTGCCGGACTAAAGACACGAGTGTCAGGCTGTCTGGGAAAGGGCTCTCTAACAACCCCCGACCCTTCGGAGTCAGGAGCATTGGTTTGCCTGGAACCAGTTCTAACTCTTTCGCTTTCCATGGTGGTCCCGAAATACACCCAGGAGCACTCAGCGGACGTCCTGGTCTCCCAGATATCCTGGTTGATACTATGGCCCCGCCAGAGGCTCCCCCTGCATGGGTTACTGAGCATGAGACAGCCACATCTTCTGACTCCTGCCTCCTGGGTCCTAATGCCCACCAGTTAGACTTTGTCCCTCAACTCATAAGCAAGATTATTCCCACTAGGCAGGATCGAGATTCCCTATTTAGAAGCCTTAAATTCTTGGGGTGGTGCCCAGAAGATCCCTGTTCATGGTGCCCTCCAGGGTTTAGGCAGTTGTCGCCATTTGATGGCTATTTTGAAGGGCCAGTTCCCCAGCATAGTGTATGGTCCCCCACATCAGGACAATTTAAACAGGTCTGTAATTTTCATGTGGATAGGAGAAGCCTTAGAGCATTTCCTCCATTGCTCCCCGGATAGACTTTCCCCTTCCTTGGGGCCTCTCAAGTACAATCTGTGGTGCACAGGCATGGGTCTTAGAGCTGTTGAATTGTTGTTTCAACCATTCAATAATTGGTATTGGATGGAAGAAAATATAGTCAGTTGGGACACAGGATACTGGTACCCCCTTGAGAGAGAGGCTTACTCCTTTGATGGCAAGTGGGGACAGAAGGCTAAAGTACAGCAGCTGTTCTCTCGGCCCTGGCCTAGAGGACATCCACCAACCTCTTTAAGCTTACTAAGCCTCCTGTCGCTGATTCAGAGATTTCTCCTTGAAGGACAGTTTTATGGCCAGGCCCACGTAAATTGGGCCTTAGCATGCAAGCATCAGTGGTGCCCCTGACCCAGGCCTTGCCATCTTGGAACAGGTAGGATGCATTGGCAAAAGGACTACAATAAATCCAACCATCCTCGTGCCCCATCTAGTGGCCTATGGGCGCATGGCAGGAGACAAGGACAGTTTCCATTCCGTCAGTAAGCATGGTTAAATCTGGCAAATGGGAGGCTCAAGGGCGACCATGCACTTCAAGCACAATTAGACTTGACCCTTGGGGGATGCCCTAAGGGAAGATGAGTCCCTAAGACTAACCAGGTTGCGGGCATCCCTGTGTTTAAAATTTCAAATGGGCACCACACCTTCAAAACCGGACACTCCCTTAAGATGTATCCTGAATAACTGGGACAAATTCGACCCAAGACCTTAAAAAAGAAGTGGCTGATTTTCTTCTGTACCAATGCCTGGCCACAGTATTCCTTACAAAATGGAGAAACTTGGCCCCCTGAGGGAAGTATTAATTATAACACCATTCTACAACTAGATCTTTTCTGTAAATGGGAAGGTAAATGGAGTGAAGTCCCTTATGTACAGGTTTTCTTTGCCCTTCGTGACAATATTGCCTTGTGCCAAGCCTGCAAGCTTTGCCCAAATGACAGAGACCCACAATTGCATCCATACTCAGGGTCTCCTCCCATTCTCCTTCCTCACTCACTCTCCACCATCAGGCCTCACCAAAGTGTTAGAGGCACCCCGAAAAGAAAACACAAGCTCCGCGAACCACATACCCAAACTATGTCCCTTACAAACAGTAGGAGGGGAATTTGGGCCCACCCGTGTACATGTCTCTTTCTCACTCTCAGATTTAAAACAAATAAAGACAGATTTAGGGGAATTCTCGGATGATCCCCATAACACTATATAGATGTCTTACAAGGGTTAGGGCAGTCCTTTGATCTAGCATGGAGGGATATCATGTTGCTCCTTGATCAGACCTTAAGTCCTACTGAAAAGGAGGCAGTTTGGCGGCAGCCCAGCAATTTGGAGATTTATGGTATCTCAGCCAGGTAAACAATTGAATGATCCTGGAGGAAAAGGAAAAATTCTTCACAGGGCAACAGGTAGTCCCCAGTGTAGACCCCCATTGGGATACCAACTCAGATCATGGAGATTGGAGCAACAGGCACTTCCTGACTTGTATCTTGAAAGGGTTAAGGAGAACTAGGAAGAAGCCTATGAACTACTCAATGCTATCCACAATTACACAGGGAAAAGAGGAAAATCCCTCAGCCTTTCTAGAAAGGCTGTGGGAGGCTCTAAGAAAGCACACCTCCCTAACTCTGAATTCCCTGGAAGGCCAACTTATTCTAAAGGATAAATTTATCACCCAATCAGCAGCTGACATTAGGAGAAAAGTCCAAAAGCCTGCTTTAGGCACAGAACAAAATTTGGAGACATTATTAAACCTGGTAACCTCGGTGTTCTATAACAGGGACCAAGAGGAACAGACCAAAAGGGAAAAGTGAGATAAAAGAGAGGCTGCAGCCTTAGTCATGGCCCTCAGACAGGCAGACCTTGGTTGCTCAGAGGAAACCAAAAGAGGAGCAGGCCAATTGCCTAGTAGGGCTTGTTATCAGTGCAGTTTGCAAGGACACTTTAAGAAAGATTGTCCAACAAGAAACAAACCGCCCCCTCACCCATGTCTAATATGCCAAGGCAATCACTGGAAGGTCCACTGCCCCAGAGGATGAAGGACCTCTGGACCAGAAGCGCCCAACCAGATGATTCAGCAACAGGACTGAGGGTGCCCGGGGCAAGCACCAGCTCATGCCATCAACCCACACAGAGCCCCGGGTAAGTTTGACCACTGAGGGCCAGGAAGTGGACTTCCTCCTGGACACTGGTACAGCCTTCTCAGTTTTAATCTCCTGCCCCAGACGACTGTCCTCAAACTCTGTTACTATCCGAGGAATCTTACCAGGTATTTCTCTCACCTCCTCAGCTGCAGTTGGGAGACTTTGCTCTTTTCACATGCCTTTCTTATTATGCCCGAAAGTCCCACACCCTTATTAGGGAGGGTCATATTAGTCAAAGCTGGAGCTATTATCTACATGAATGTGGGGAACAAATTACCCATTTGTTGTCCCCTACTTGAAGAAGGAATCAACTCTGAAGTCTGGGCCTTGGAAGGACAATTTGGAAGGGCAAAAACTCCCCATCCCGTTCAAATCAGGCTAAAAGACCCCATCGCTTTTCCTTATCAAAGGCAATATCCCTTAAGGCCTGAAGCTCACAAAGGATTACAGGATATTGTTAGACATTTAAAAGCTCAAGGCTTAGTAAGAAGATGTAGCAGTCCTTGCAACACCTCAATCCTAGGAATACAAAAACCAAATGGTCAGTGGAGACTAGTGCAAGACCTCAGAATCATCAATGAGGCAATAATTCCTTTATATCCTGCTGTACCCAACCCCTATACACTGCTCTCTCAGATACCAGAGGAAGCAGAATGGTTCACTGTTCTGGACCTCAAAGATGCCTTCTTCTGCATTCCCCTGCACTCTGACTCCCAGTTCCTCTTTGCCTTTGAGGATCCTACAGACCACACGTCCCAGCTTATGTGGATGGTCTTGCCCCAAGGATTTAGAGATAGCCCTCATCTGTTCGGTCAGGCATTGGCCCAAGACCTAGGCCAATTCTCAAGTCCAGGCACTCTGGTCCTCTAATCAAGGTTACAAAGTGCCTGGGACAAAGGCCCAGCTCTGTCTACAACAAGTTAAATATCTAGGCCTAGTCCTAGCCAAAGGAACTAGGGCACTTGACAAAGAGCATATTCAGCCTATACTGGCCTATCCTCACCCTAAGACATTGAAACCATTGTGGGGGTTCCTAGGAATCACTGTTTTTTGCCAACTGTGAATTCCTGGACACAGTGAAATGGCCAGGCCACCCTATACCCAGATATAGGAGACTCGGAAGGTGAATACTCATCTAGTAGAGTGGGAACCGGAGGTGGAAACAGCCTTCAAAAGTTTAAAGCTGGCCCTAGTACAAGCTCCAGACCTGAGCCTCCCTACAGGACAAAATTTCTCTCTATATGTCACCAAGAGAGCAGGAATAGCTCTTGGAGTTCTTACTCAGACTCGTGGAAAAGCCCCACAACCAGTGGCATACTTAAGTAAAGAAATTGATGTAGTAGCCAAGGGCTGGCCTCACTGTTTACAGGTGGTTGCAGCAGTAGCCATCTTAGTGTCAGAGGCTATTATAATAATATAAGGAAAGGATCTCACTGTCTGGACTACCCATGATGTAAGCAGCAGATTAAATGCTAAAGAAAGTTTGTGGTTCTCAGATAACAGCGTACTCAAATACCAGGCACTACTCCTTGAGGGACCAGTATTTCAAATACTCACATGTGCGGCCCTCAACCCTGCCACTTTTCTTCCGGAGGATGAGGAACCAATTGAGCATGACTGCCAACAAATTATCACCCAGAGTTATGCCACCCAAGAAGATCTCTTAGAAGTCCCCTTAGCTAACCCTGACCCTAACCTGTACTCTGATGGAAGTTATTTGTAGAAAATAGGGTATGAAAGGCAGGCTATGCCATAGTTAGTGATGCAGCAGTACTTGAAAGTAAGCCTCTTCCCCCAGGGACCAGTGCTCAGTAAGCAGAACTGGTGGCACTTAGCCGAGCCTTAGAGCTGGGAGAAGGGAAAAGAATAAATGTGTAACAGATAGCAAGTATGCTTATCTAGTCCTACAGGCACATGATGCAATATGGAAAGAAAGGGAGTTCCTAACCTCTGGAGGAACACCCATTAAGTACCACAGAGAAATCATGGAGTTATTGCATGCAGTGAAAAAACCTAAGGAGGTGGCAGTCTTACACTGCCAAGGCCATCAGAAAGGTGAAGGAGAAGAAGCAGAAGGAAACCACTGAGCAGACACTGAGGCCAAAATTGCTGCCAGGCAGGACTTTCCTTCAGACATGCCCATGGAAGGACCCCTGGTATGGAGCAACTCTCTTCAGGAGGTTAAGCCCCATTATTCCCCAACTGAAACAGAATGGGGACTTTCACGAGGACATAATTTTCTCCCCTCGGGATGGCTAACAACAGAGGAAGGAAAGGTGCTCATACCTGAAGCCAGCCAGTGGAAAATACTTAAAACCCTCCACCAAACTTTTCATATGGGTATTGAAAGTACCCATAATATGGCCACATCCCTATTTACAGGGCCAAACCTCCTCAAAGCCATCCAGCAAGTAGTCAAAGCCTGTGAAGTGTGCCAAAAGAATAACCCCTTAAGGCCCACTGTGAGGCCTCTCCAGGAGGACAAAGAACAGGACATTATCCTGGAGAGGAATGGCAGTTAGATTTTACCCATATGCCAAAGTCAAGAGGATTTCAGTACTTATTGGTCTGTGTTGGTACTCTTACAAATTGGGTGGAAACTTTCCCTTGTAAAATGGAGAAGTCCCAAGAAGTGATTAAAGTCTTAATTCATGAAATAATTCCTAGATTTGGACTTTCCCAAAGCTTACAGAGCGACAGTGGTTCAGCTTTTAAAGCTACAATAACTCAAGGAATTTCCAAGGCACTAGGAATACAATATCACCTTCACTGTGCCTGGAGGCCACAATCCTAAGGGAAGGTTGAAAAGACAAATGAAACACTCTAGAAGCATTTGAGAAAGCTAATGCAAGAAACTCATCTCCCATGGCCCACTCTCTTGCCCATGGCCTTATTAAGAATTCAAAAATCCCCTCACAGAATGGGGCTCAGTCCATATGAAATGCTGTATGGATGGCCTTTTCTCACAAATGACCTCCTGCTCAATCAGGAAACAGCCAATTTAGTCAAAGATATAACTTCTCTGGCAAAATATCAACAAAACTTCAAAACTTTACCCAAAAGGTGTGACAGGGAAAAAAGAATAGAGTTGTTTCAACCAGGAGATCTAGTATTAGTCAAGTTTCTCCCCTCTACCTCTCCATCTATGGATCCCTATGGGAGGGACCATACTCGGTAATCCTCTCTACCCCCACTGCAGTTAAAGTGGCAGAAGTGGAATCCTGGATTCACCACACTCGAGTTAAACCTTGGACACCCCCTGAGGAACTTACATGATCAACTCAGGAGTCACAAGGTCAGCCAGACCAGCCTTGATACACCTGTCAGCCACTAAAGGACCTGCGTCTCCTATTTCAGAAGGAAACATCTCAGACTAGAAAGACTCCTGCAATTAATCCTGAAGAGAAACTTCTCTCTACCTAAAGGAGGAGAAGTAAAAAACGCGTACATGAACTTTGACATCTCTCCTTGCTCTCTTTAATAGAATCCTTCTACTGTTTCATTACATTATTAAGCAGTATACTAACTATACTATTTGCAGTAGATTATATACTGTAGCTCCAGCCGGGACAAAAATCTTAACCACATCAACCTTTCTTCTATGATCCTTTCTTCTAACAGCAATTTACTCCTTTTTCCCTCCTCTTTCCTACGACCGTTCCACTTACAACACGTCATGACTCCTCTTAGGCTTCCTGACACCTTCTTCATACTCATATCCCTTTCTCTAACTACTACACACACCACATGTCAGTGTGCCTCTCCTGGAAGAGTCAACTGGCATTCTCTCAGAAACTCTTGGGGATTAGGTAGCCCCTTCCAAGCACCCGCATCTTTTGTCGCATATACTTACATGAGAAGAGAATGTTATAAAACTGCTTCTCTCTGCTCTCACAATGGCCGTACATATCACCAAGGAAAAATAATCTGAGCTGACTGCCCTGAGAAATGGGGGGCCAACGCTTGTTGGACATATTATATATACCCATATAGGTATGTCTGACAGAGGAGGTGTCCAAGATGAGGCTAAAGAATGGCATATCCAAAAAGTGATTAAAAACTTAGTACAGCTTTCCAGTACTCCCAGTCCATACAAGAAATTAGACCTTTCCAGGCTACAAGAAACTTTTAACTCTCATTTTTGTCTCTGAAGCCTGTTTAACACCACCCTTACAGGAATACAAGAGGCCTCTCCTAGTAATCCAACCAATTGTTAAATGTGTTTCCCCTTGTGTTTTCAAACATATGTCCCAGTCTGTGTTCCTGGACAGTGTGGAACCTTAAAAATCTTAAAAAGCCTTAAAAAGCTTAAAAGGTGAATACCCAAACCAGCAGTGGCAACCCGTTTGGGACCCCTTCCATGCTGTGGAAGCTTTGTACTCCTGCTCTGCTCAATAAAACCTACTGCTCATTCTCTCTCGGTCTGGGTCTCTATCACTTCCTGTGGTCAGCCACTGCATCAATTCTTTGGCTTGGCTAGGCTAAGAACCTTAGGCGTTACAAGAGTACTACATCAAGGGAACACCTCGTGGGACAAAACATCTGAACAACAGCCTTCAGCCCTAGACATTCCCTCTGACAGAGCCTACCCAAATGAGAAGGAACCAGAAAACCAACTCTGGTAATATGACAAAACAAGGCTAATCGACACCCTCTAGAAGTCACACTAGTTCACCAGCAATGGATCCAAACCAAGACGAAATCCCTGATTTACCTGAAAAAGAAATCAGGAGGTTAGTTATTAAGCTAATTAGGGAGGGACCAGAGAAAAGTGAAGCCCGTTGCAAGGAAATCCAAAAAATGATACAAGAAGTAAAGGGAGAAATATTCAACAAAATCGATAGCTTAAAGAAAAAACAATAAAAAATTCAGGAAACTTTGGGCACACTTTTAGAAATGCAAAATGCTCTGGAAAGTCTCAGCAATAGAGTTGAATAAGTAGAAGAAAGAAATTCAGAGCTTGAAGACAAGGTCTTCGAATTGATCCAATGCAACAAAGACAAAGAGAAAAGAATAATAAAATAGGAACAAAGCCACCAAGAAGTCTGGGATGATGTTAAACAACCAAACCTAAGAATAATCAGCATTCCTGAGGAAAAAGACAATTCTAAACACTTGGAAAACATATTTGGGGGAATAATCAAGGAAAACTTCCCTGCCATTGCTAGAGACCTAGACATGCAAATACAAGCAGCACAAAGAACAACCTGGGAAATTCATCGCAAAAAGATCTTCACCTAAGCATATTGTCATCCGGTTATCCAGAGTTAACACGAAGGAAAGAATCTTAACAGGTATGAGACAGAAGCAACAGGTAACCTACAAAGGAAAACCTATCAGATTAACAGCAGGTTTCTCAGCAGAAACCCTACAAACTAGAAGGGATTGGGGCCCTATCTTTCAGCCTCCTCAAACAAACAAAACAAGAATTTTATATCGAGCAAAACTAAGCATCATCTATGAAGGAAATATACAGTCGTTTTCAGACAAACAAATGCTAAGAGAATTCACCTTTACCAAGCCACCACTACAAGAACTGCTAAAAGGAACTCTAAATCTTAAATCCTAGAAACACATTAAAACAGAATCTCTTTAAAGCACAAATCACACAGGACCTATAAAAGAAAAATAGAAGTTAAAAAACAAACAAACAAAAACAAAGTACACAGGCAACTAAGAGCATGATGAATGCAACGGTACCCCACATTTCAATACTAACATTGAATATAAATGGTGTAAATGCTCCACTTAAAAGATACAGAACCACAGGATGGATAAGAACTCACCAACCATCTGCTATCTTCAGGAGACACACCTAACGCATAAGGATTCACATAAACTTAAAGTAAAGGGGTGGGGTTAGAAAAGGCATTTCATGCAAATGGACATCAAAAGCGATCAGGGGTAGCTATTCTTATATCAGACAAAACAAACTTTAAAGCAACAGTGGTTAAAAGAGATAAAGAGGAACATTATATAATGGTAAAAGGCCTGGTCTAACAGGAAAATATGGCAATCCTAAACGTATATGCACCTAACACTGGAGCTCCCAAATTTATAAAAACAATTACTAATAGACCAAAGAAATGAGACAGACAGCAACGCCATAATAGTGGGGAACTTTAATACTCCACTAACAGCACTAGGCAGGTTATCAAGACAGAAAGTCAACAAAGAAACAATGGATTTAAACTATACCCTGGAACAAATGGACTTAACAGATACATACAGAACATTTCATCCAACAACCACAGAATACACATTCTATTCAACAGCACATGGAACTTTCTCCAAGATAGACCATATGATAGGCCATAAAATGAGCCTCAATAAATTTAAGAAAATTGAAATAGTATCAAGCACTCTCTCAGACCACAGTGGAATAAAACTGGAAATCATGTCCTAAAGAAACCTTCAAAACCATGCAAATACATGGAAATTAAATAACCTGCTCCTAAATGAGCATCGGGTCAAAAGGAAAATTAAGATGGAAATTAAAAAATTATTCAAACCGAATGACAATAATGACACAACCTATCAAAACCTCTGGGATACAGTTAAGGTGGTGCTAAGAGGAAAGTTCATAGCCCTAAATGCCTACATCAAAATATCTGAAAGAGCACAAACAGACAATCTAAGGTCACACCTCAAGGAACTAGAAACAAGAACAAACCAAACCCAAACCCAGCAGAAGAAAGGAAATAACCAAAATCAGAGCAGAACTATATGAAATTGAAACAAACAAACAAAAAAAAATACAAAAGACAAATGAAACAAAAACCTGATTCTTTGAAAGGGTAAATAAAATTGATAGACCATTAGCAAGATTAACCAAGAAAAGAAGAGAGAAAATCCACATAACCTTACTGAGAAATGAAACAGGAGATATTACAACTGACACCACTGAAATACAAAAGATCACACAAGGCTACTATGAACACCTTTGTGCACATAAACTAGCAAACTTAGAACAGATGGATAAATTCCTGGAAAAATACAACCCTCCTCCTGCTCTTTCAGACTTTTTGAGGTAGGTGCTAAATCAGCAAGAATTAGATACCCTGAACAGACCAATAACAAGCAGCGAGATTGAAATGATAATTTAAAGATTACCAACAAAAAAAGCCCAAGACCAGACAAATTCACAGCAGAATTCTACCAGACATTCAAATAAGAATTGGTACCAATCCTTTTGACACTATTCCATAAGACAGAGAAAGAAGGAACACCCCCTAACTTATTTTATGAAGCCAGCATCACCCTAATACCCAAACCAGGAAAGGACACAACCAAAAAAGAAAACTATAGACAGATATCCTTAATGAACATAGATGCTGAAGTCCTTAACAAAATACTGGCTAACCAAATCTAACAACATAGCAAAAAGATAATCCACCATGATCAAGTGGGTTTCATACCGGGGATGCAGGGATGGTTTAACATACACAAGTCAATAAATGTGATACACCACATAAGAACTACAAACAAAAATCACAAGATCATCTCAATAGATTCAGAAAAAGCATTCGACAAAATCCAGCATCTCTTTATGATTAAAACTCTCAGCAAAATCGGCATACTATAGACATAGATTAATGTAATAAAAGCCATCTATGACAAACTCACAGCCAACATAATACTGAATGGGGAAAAGTTGAAAGCATTCCCTCTGAGAATGGGAAGAACATAATGATGCCCACTCTCACCACTCCTCTTCAACAGAGTACTGGAAGTCCTAGCCAGAACAATCAGACAAGAGAAGGAAATAAAAGGCATCCAAATCGGTAAGAAGGAAGTCAAACTGTCCCTGTTTGCTAGCTATATGATCGTTTACCTTGCAAATCCTAAGGACTCCTCCAGAAAGCTCCTAGAACTGATAAAAGAATTCAGCAAAGTTTCTGGATACAAGATTAATGTTCACAAATCAGTAGCTCTTCTATGCAACAACAATGACCAAATAGAGAATCAAATCAAGAAATCAATCCCTTTTACAAAAGTTGCCAAAAAAAAAAAAAAACTTAGGAATATATGTAACAAAGGAGTAGAAAGACTTCTGCAAGGAAAACTATAAATCACTGCTGAAAGAAATCATAGATGACACAAACAAATGAAAACACATCCTATGCTCACGGACAGTAGAATCTATATTGTGAAAATGACTGTATTGCCAAAAGCTATCTCCAAATTCAATGCAATCCCCATCAAAATACCACAATCACTGTTCACAGAATTAGAAAAAAAAAATTCTAAACTTCACATGGAACCAAAAAAGAGCCTACATAGCCAAAGCAAGACCAAGCAAAAAGAACAATTCTGGAGGCATCACACTACCTGATTTCAAACTATACCGTAAGGCCATAGTCACCAAAACAGCATAGTACTAGTATAAAAATAGGCACATAGACCAATGGAACAGAACAGAGAACCCAGAAATAAACCCAAATACTTACAGACAACTGATCTTTGACAAAGCAAACAAAAACACCAAGTGGGGAAAGGACACCCTTTTCAACAAATGCTCCTGGGATAACTGGCTAGCCACATGTAGCAGAATGAAACTGGATCCTCACTTCTCACCTTATAGAAAATCAACTCAAGATGGATTAAGGACTTAAACTGAAGACCTGAAACTATAAACATTCTAGAAGATAACATTGGAAGAACCCTTATAGACATTGGTTTAGGCAAGGATTCCATGACCAAAAACCCAAAAGCAAATGCAATACAAACCAAGATAAATAACTGGGACCTAATTAAACTAAAGAGCTTTTGCATGGCAAAAGGAATAGTCAGCAAAGTAAACAGACAACCCACAGAGTGGGAGAAAATTTTCACAATCTATACATCGGACAAACGACTAATATCCAGAAACTACAACTAACTCAAACAAATCAGTAAGAAAAAAACAAACAATCCCATCAAAAAGTGGGCTAAGAACATGAATAGACAATTCTCAAAAGAAGACCTACAAATGGCCAACAAATATATAATAAAATGCTCAACATCATTAATGATCAGAGAAATGCAAATCAAAACCACAATGTGATACCACCTCACTCCTGCAAGAATGGCCATAATCAAAAAATCAAATAACAAAATATGTTGGTATGGATGCAGCCATCAGGGAACACTTCTACACTGCTGGTAGGAATGTAAACTAGTATAGCCGCTATGGAGATTCCTTAAAGAACTAAAAGTAGAACTACCATTTGATCCAGCAATCCCACTACAGGGTATCTACCCAGAGGAAAAGAAGCCATTATTGAAAAAAGATACTTGCACATGCATGCTTATAGCAGCACAATTCACAATTGCAAAATCATGGAACCAACCCAAATGCCCATCAGTCAACAAGTGGATAAAGATAGACAGACAGACAGATAGATAGATAGATAGATAGATAGATAGATAGACAGATAGATAGGTCTCTTTATATATAAAACTACTTATATAGTATTTATATTTTACTAGGTATTATAAGTAATGTAAGTAATGTAGACATGATTTAAAATATACAGGAGGACTGTGTAGGTTATATACAAATGTGACACCATTATATACAATATATATTCCATCATATATATACATATATATGCACAAGTATATACATATACACATATATATGCACATGTATATACATATACACATATATATGCACATGTATATACATATACACATATATATGCACATGTATATACATATACACATATATATGCACATGTATATACATATATACATATATATGCACATGTATATACATATATACATATATATGCACATGTATATACATATATATGCATATATATGCACATGTATATACATATATATGCACATGTATATACATATATACATATATATGCACATGTATATACATATATACATATATATGCACGTGTATATACATATATATACATATATATGCACGTGTATATACATATATATACATATATATGCACGTGTATATACATATATACATATATGCACGTGTATATACATATATACATATATGCACGTGTATATACATATATACACATATATGCACGTGTATATACATATATACACATATATGCACGTGTATATACATATATACACATATATGCACGTGTATATACATATATACACATATATGCACGTGTATATACATATATACACATATATGCATGTGTATATACATATATACACATATATGCACGTGTGTATACATATATACATATATATGCATGTGTATATACATATATACATATATATGCATGTGTATATACATATATATACACATATATATACATATATATATGATGGAATATTATTCAGCCACAAAAAGGAATGAATTAACAGCATTTGCAATGACCTGGATGAGACTGGAGACTATTATTCTAAATGAAGTAACTCAGGAATGGAAAAGCAAACATCGTATGTTCTCACTGATACGTGGGATCTAAGCTATGAGGATGCAAAGGCATAAGAATGATATAATGGACCTGGGGGACTTGGGGGGAAGAGTGGGGGGAGGGCGAGAGATAAAAGACAACATATATGGTTCACTGTATACTGCTTGGGTAATGGGTGCACCAGGAGCTCACAAATCACCACTAAAGAACTTACTCATATAATCAATACCACCTGTACCCCAATAACTCATGGTAAATAAAAAATATATATATCCCCAAAAAGGAATAAAAAATAACAATACAGCAATAAAAGTAATAAAAATAATATAGTATAACTATTTATATAGTATTTAATTTTTACTAGGCATTATAAGTAATCTAGAGATGATTTAAAATATACAGGATGATTGTGTAGGTTACATGCAAATGCTACACCATTTTATATAGGGGACTTGGGCATCTGTGGATGCTGGTATCTGCAGTGGGTCCTGAAACCAATCTCCCCTGGATACCAAAGGACTTCTGTATAACTACTCCTTCTTTCTTTTAATTAGTGTTAACATGGTGTCTTAGTTAGTTCAGGCTGCTATAACAAAGTACCATAGATTGAGTGGTTTATAGGCAACAAAACTTATGTCTTACAGTTCTGGAGGCTGGAAGTCCAAGATCAGGGTGTCAGCATGAGGGCTCTCTTCCAGGTTGCAGACTGCAGTCTCTTGTTGCATCCTCACATGATGGAAAGAGGGCTAGAAAGCATTCTAGTGTCTTATTCATTCATGGGGCTCTTCTCTCGTAATTTAATTATCTCCAAAAATGCCATCTCCTCATACCATCACATTGAGGGTTAGGATTTTATCATATAAATTTTGAGAGCACTTGAGCATTCAGTACATAATATTCCACCCATGGAACCCCCAGATTTATGTCATTCAAGCTTGTAAAATACATTCTTTCCATCCCATCTATCCAAAATTCTGAAATTTTTCTAGAATCAATTTCAAAGTCTAATTCCAATGTCTCCTCTAAATATCTTCTATATTAGATATGGATGAGACTCAAGGTATAATTTATACCGAGGCAATACTTCCCTCCAGCTGCAAGCCTGTGAAATCAAACAAGCTATATGCTTCCAGAACACAATGTTGGAATAGGCATAGGACAGATGTTTCTATTCCAAAAGGGAGGATTAGGAAAGCAGGAAGGGATGATGAGTCCCAAGCAAGCCAAGGCAACTACATGAGATCTAAAGGCTTGAGAATATCCTTTTTGGCTCCATACTCTGCCCCCCAGGGCCACTGGGAAAGAGGTTCTATTATAGTAGGTAGCTAGGCAGACATGCGCAGGGCAGAGAGGCTTACCTTCCCCGGAACATTAGGCAACCATCAGGTGAGGGTCAGGAGGTTGTTAAACTGTCTCTCTAAAATAATCATTGGTTGCAGCTGGTGCCAGGGAAAGGCAGGCTCCCAACAGATAGAAAACACCTGAAGCTGGTGATTAGCAGTAGCCCAGTAAGATCTCAGGTGTTGGGTGAGTAGGCTTAAGCATGCAAACTGAGAGGCAAAATGGCAGTTTAACTGGTATATGACGTTCCTTTAGGAACACTTGACTAGTAAGGGAAAAATGCCTCAAATGAGCATACACACAGCTTCAGTAAATACGCTGTGCATATGGCCCCTCCCAAGTGATGCTGACAACCCGCCCCAAGGAAAAATCAAGGTAGGAGAGCACAAAACCCCAGAAAACCCCAGAACTATGCCAATGTATAAAAGCCCAAGTCAAGAGTTAGATGGAGCACTTGGATCTCTCAAGTTACCCACTTGGCCCTCTTCCAAATGTATTTTACTTCCTTTCATTCTTGCTACATCACCCCCACAGCCAGCAGGGAACTGCTATACTGTGGCTCTCTTCAGAGGACCTGCTTATTCTGTAGTTTTCTGTTTGGTACAGGGGTTACACCCTTAGGATTCTTCCAGGCAGCACCACCCCCACGGCTCAGCTGAGTATTGGTCCCATACTCCACAATTGAAGTGGAGGCAACCCTGCCATTTGGGCCTGTGCATTCTGAAGCTATAGTGGGAGTGGTAACCCTGATAATCTCGAATCTCCTTCAAGGCCTTCTTCCCTTGTCTTGACACATGTATTTGCAGATGAATAGTTCTATGATCCAGTCCTGCAGAGTCTAAGAATATCAATAGTCTTCTTTAATTTTGTCCTATCTTCTCTGTTTCCTTTAGCTCCACCTGAAAAATAGTTCCCCTCTCTATTTCTGATTTTTGTTGAAATGGTTGATTAAGTAAATGATTCACATCCATGCTAATCTCCTTATCAAATGGCCACTTGGCCACACCTTTACTATTCCAAACATCCTTCTTTATTTTTTTACAATACAAATAGGCTGAGAATTTTCCAAATTTTAAGATTTAATCTTTTTTGATTAATAATTTTATCTGCAATTTATTTCTCTCCTTTTGTATTTTACCATAAGGAGTCAGGAAAAACCAAGCAGCTCCTTCTACACTTTGCTTAGAAATCTCAGCTATATATCCAACGCCAGTGCAGTTTCTACTTTCCACAAAATGCTATAACATGAACACAAGTCAGCCAAATTATTTGCCACTATATAGCAAGAATCACCTTTTCTCCATCGTTCAACTACATGCTCCTCATTTCTGTCTCAGATCTCATCAGAATGGCTCTTAGAAATGTATATTTCTATCAGAATTCTGTTCATGGATACTTAGGTCTTCTCTTAGAAGGCAGAAACTTTCTGTACCACTCTCCTCTTTTCTTTCTGAACTCTCAGCAGAATCACCTTTAAAAGTCCATGGCATAGGCTTTCTCTAGCACATGCTTCATAACTCTTCCAATCTCTATTAATTACCCACTTTCTAAATCACTTCCACACTTTTGGGTATTTTTTACAGTGACACTCCTAATTTTCAGTACTAATTTCTGTCTTAGCCAGTTTGAGGTACTATAACAAAGTACCATATACTGGGTAGCTTATAAACCATGCAAATTGAATTCTCACTGTCCTGAAGGCTAGAAGTCTGAAATCAGGATGTCAGAATGGTCTGGTTCTGGTAAGGGCCCCCATCTGGGTTGCAGACTATAGTCTTCTTACTGTATGACAGAAAAAAAAAAGGCTAGAGAGCTCTTTCCACTGCACTCCAGCCTGGGCGACAGAGCAAGACTCCATCTCAAACAAACAAACAAAAAAGAACATTAATTGCATTTATGAGAGCTCCCCCTTATAACTTAATTGCCCCTAAACAGCCCTACCTATTAATACCATTACATTGAAGTTAAAGATTTTAACATATTAATTTGGGGGGAAAACTTTCATTCCATAGTTCATAATATACCTTTCTTCATCCCTTTACTTTTAATCTGCTTGTGTATTTGTGCTCAAATTAGGTTTCTCATGGACAGCATATAGTTAGGTCTTGCTTTTTGATCAACTGCGACAACCTCTGTCTTTTAATTAATGTATGTAGACTATCGATGTTGAAAGTGATTATGAATACAGTTAGGTTGATATTTGTCATAGTTATAACTGTTTTTTTGTTACAGTCTTTGTTCTTTATTTCTATTTTCATCTTTCACACTTTTTTTGCCTTTTGTGGTTTCAGTTGAGAATTTTATATGATTCCATTTTCTCTGCTATTTTTAGGATATCAATTATACTCATTTTTACTACAGTAAAACAAACTTTTAATAATGGGGTGGTAAGGACTGTAGAGGGGAGAGGAAATTTTCTATAGTCCTGTGATTAGGTCTCAGGTTTCTGGTGAGCTTGTGCCATTGGACTATGAACTTCACCAGTGCTTCTTAGTTCTCCCCTTGGAATCCACTTAGGTTGGACAGGATGGCAAGAAAATAATTGAAGTTGGGTATTTCCCTTTCCCTAGATAGGTTAAGTTCTGATAAGATCCTAGTAGATTAGGCTCTAGTAAAATAGTTTCTCCTGAAGGCAGGCCTTGTTAAGAAAAACAGAATATTCTAACATATATTCAAATGATTTTTTTTTCCTATCTCCTTGCCAGAGCATTAAGGAACTATTCTCCTATGAGAACCTGGTAGAGCTCCTGGTAATAAAACATAAAAGTGTGGAAGCCTCCCGATGAATGGACCTCCTCCCTGAAGTTTTTAAATCTCAAATGGTTTATTTTGGGCTTTTAGCAATTCTACAATTACAAGTCAGGTTTTCCTACCAAAAAACTGGTTCTTACAGGGGCTTTTGCATATGAATTTCTGCTCTAGTAAGTTATAATTCTCTGTATTAGCCCGTCTCTCTCCAGTTCTGGGGACAATTTGCCCTGGGACCTTACTTCTCTGAGACATCTAAGTAGCATTGTTATTTTTTGTTTTATGTTTTTAAGTTTGTTTGGATTTTTACTTGTTGAAGGCTGGAATGGCAACTTCCAAGCTCCTTACAAGCCTGAACAAAAACCTGAGGCGGATCCTCAAGCCTTTCTTACGAGTAGTCAATATGCAGACCTACTCTCAAGATTGATAAAAATATCACATCATCACATCAAGATACATCTATCCATTGCTTTCTCTAAATCTATGTATTTGTTTCTTGTTGCCTTTCATGTCCAGCTTAGCACTGATTAATCCAGCTCTGAAAATTTTCACTGTGTTAGCTACTGCCTTTGTCCAGAAATGCATTAACTCTCAAGACTCTACCTACCTCTCTCTTTGCCTCTGGTCTCTCCTTGTTCCAATGTATCCTGTTATCATATGTATCTTTTCAAAGCACAACTCTAATGCTATCAAAAATTCAGCTTTCTACAATGCCTAATCTATTCTATATTTGGTAAGCAGGGCCCTCCACAACAACGACCCAAATTATCTTACCAATCTTAACCTCTGCTATATGCCTAATATCTTAAGCTGTCATCTCATCAACCTTATCATAGTTATCCAAATGCCTCTTATATTCTCGGAACTCACCTATTCCCTTATACTGCTTCACTGACTTGTAAATCTCATAAAAATATACTCTATTTATCAAGGCCAATATCAAGCCTTTCTCAATGTTTTCAATTAGACATTCTCTCTTCCTTCTCCGGTACCTACAGCAGTATATTTGTGTGGGGAATGACACTTACTGACACCACAATATAGTCAAGTGTGTCCTTGTCTTATTTCCTAGATTTAATGGAAGCTTCTCCAATGAACCCAATGCACCTTGATCATTTTCTCTCCCAGGCACTAGCTGGTATACTACCCAGCAAAGAGCAGGAATAAAACAAATCTACATCTCAGTAAAAAGTAAATGGAAGCAAACTTCTTCTAAAAATAAAATAAAATAAAGTAAAAACACTTCTTTAAATGAAACTCTCTTACCTCTTGAGTCTTAATGACCCCAATATGTAGTCAAATAGATACATATACATATACATATACCTTTAAGAAAAATGAAGTAAAAAGTAGCACTCTTCAAACTAATGATCAACAAAATCAACTGATTGAAGTTAAACACCTTCTAAAACAAGAAACACTTCTGCTAAGTATATAATTATATACATGCTGTTTAAAAATATGAATTGTCATCAAAGAATTCATTGTCATTACCAGAACCATTGTCCCGTAGAAGAAATAACCACTTTTAAAATTTATCAAAATTAGACTTATTAGTGTAAATATCTTTGTGAAGTGTATCTCTAATGTCATGCTGATAAAACTCATTCTGACTATAAAGCAATGTCTGATAATTTTAATAAAATACCATAACATGCACTCTTGAAAGATTGATATCTTTCAGAACATTAACTACAGGAGACTCTAAGCTCATCAAAAAAACAATGCCAAGTTCAAACCATTTTGAAAACCCATTTTGAGCCAACTTAAAAGCCATGTAAAAAAGTCTGTCAAATCCTTTTATTTTTGTATTTTAATACCGCGGTAGAATTTATTAAACCACCCTCCACTCCTGTTTAAGTCACTTGACTCTGATTTTTTCCAGATGATTTTCACAAGTCAAATTCATTCTCCAGAAATGAAGACATGACTTTCTAGAATGTCTTTAAAGAATGTGCATATACTGCCTTCATGAAAAGTCATTTCAAAAGCAAAGGTCCAAAACTTTCTGATTCTAGTTGTTGAAATGTAGCCTCTAAAAATGACTGCTTTAAACATGCACATAATGTGTAACTTTGTTTCATCATGTTAAAGTATTAGTAATAATAGTGATCATGTGCAATAGTGAAGTCAACGTATCTTGTAGGAGACTACTTATTTGTCAACATGTGTATTTACAGCAATGGAGAAAAATACATTGCACGAAAACTTGGGGCAGAATATGAATAGGTTTTAATTCTATGCAAAAGGTAACATATATGGGAGGGGAAATTTCCTAATATGGTGAGTTTCCTCAATACTCTGCTTACTCCAAACATTTTAAACTCAAATATCACATGCAGAGCTAGATAAAACCTGAAAATAATAATACACATGTTTGAGGAATATCCTTTTATTTTCACCAACTAAAAACAGTCAAAGAATAGCCAGTAGAATTATTGTTGTCTAAAAAATAAGCCCAAAAGAATAATATATTTTAATATTATGGGAATACCTTAAACTTTACAAATGTTGGAACAGGAAATTTTCCTGCAGGTTTTATTTATATATGATCAGAATTTCTGATCCAATCTTAGTTTTCTCATTTTCTAGCCCAGACTTTTAGAAAACCATATTCTGATTTATAAAATTAAATGAGATTTGTAATAATAATAATATCTTATTTTACAAAGATTTGTAATAATAATAATAACTTATTTTACAAGAACTTCCTTGTCAAAGCTTTTAAATCTAGACAGTTTCATATATAAAACTATATTAGAAGTCACTGCCATGGCAAAGCAAAGATGGATGACACAAAGCCTGAAAAATTTCTAAAGCCAATGGCCTCCAAGATAAACTTTTAACTTTATTATTCCTCAGTTGTCACTGATTTAGCCTAGGTGGCTTTACACTCTAAAAAAAAGTTTTTCTTCTATTGTTAGCATTGGCATTTTCACAGCATTTTATATCATACTGATTTTATCCTAAGTATTTACTGTAACCTTTATACAAATTCAGTCAACATTTAAAAACCTATCTGGCACATCTGGTTTCTTGCCGTTATTTCAAAACTTAAGTATGCTCCTGTCTCAAGGTCTTTGTACAGTGCAAAGATCTGCTTGATACAGTCTTTTCTCAGATACCCCCATAGCTCATTCACTTGTTACCTCCAGAACACAGAAAGCAGCTTCTCAAATAGCTCACCCAATTTAAAATAGCAGCTCCACGACCCGGACACTCTCTAGTCTCCCCTACTGTTAATTCTCCACAGCTCTCCCTATGCTGTAAAATTTCCCTGTTTAATTATTTACCTATTTAATTATTGTGTATGTCCCCACCCAACCCAAACCATCCACTAGATAGAAAACTCTTATAGCTAAATTTTTGTTTGGTTTAATTTGTTTATTGCTCAAATAGCAGCTAGAACACAGTAGGCCCTGAATTAATATTTTCTTTCTTTATTTATAATACTATTTATGATACTTGTGTGTGGTATAATAAATAATTAGTCTGATAATTGCATTAGGTTTCTGGCAAGGAGTTTCAAATACCTTTGGAATTTTCTGAGTGATAGTAGCATCTCTGTTATGTTAATGAAGTGACCTATCTGTGCACCTAGATAGCTTCAGGATAGGAGCTGGTCAGCAAAAAGACCAATTATGTGATTAGAGGGTTGGAACTTTCAGCCCCCTTAATCTGGACTTTGAATTCAATCCCATGGCTAATAATTTAATCAATCATGCCTATGTACTGAGATACCAATAAAAACTCTGGACACTGAAGCTCAGTGGAGCTTCCTGGTTAGTGAATACACAATGCGTCAGGAGGGTAGAGCACCCCAACTGCATGCCTAACTGAGGGCATGGAAGCTCAGCACTTGATGCCCTTCTAGATCTCACTGTATTGTAATCATAAGTGTAGCACTTTCCTGAATTCTGTGTCATCTTTGTAAAGTATCAAACTTGCAGGGGGTTGTGGGAATTCCCTAATTGGTGGCCCACTTGGTCAGAAATGCAAGTTCTGGAAGACCCCTAGGATTTGTGGCTGGCATCTAGCATAAGGGTAGTCCTACCAGGGACTATTCCCTTTAGACAGTAGAGTCTGACACTAGCTCTGGGTGGTTAGCATTAGAGCTGCATTGAATTGCAGCACCCTAGTTGAAAAGGAATACTGTAGATTTTTTAAAAAACAATTTAATTACATTTCCATATGTGTGCTTATTTGTTTGGCATCTACTTCCAAGGCCCAGTCCCAATCAAATTGGAAACCCTCAAAATTAATGTATAGGATAGTTCTTAAACTTGTTAAAGTCTTCAGTACAATGACAAATAGAAGTGCAATGCATTAATTTATTTTTTTCTGTACTGCTGAAAATTTGCCTCTTTTTACTTTTAGCTAGTGACCTATGCATATATTTGTTGTCATAAGAATATACAGATATTAATATATAAATGAAATCAAGATGACAGGAACCAAAATTTTGAAATGCATTGTTTAAGGTAAATTAATCCATCATCAACAGTGGCTGAAATATATTGTCACTACAACAATATCAAAGCACAATGGGACATGTTAATTTTATGCATTCCATGAACAGTATATTCTAATAGTTTCTAGGTTCACAGGGGTAAGTAAATTAAGCAAGACACTAGCCAGACATCAGAATAGCAGGTCATTTCTATTACCCTGAATTTTCATGGCTGAGATAAAGATCCACAATAGAGACAATGAACTACTTTAAAAGAAATTCAAATGTGAAAAAATCAATAACTGGCTTTCCTTGTACAACGGGAATATCTAATAGCAGCAATCAGTAACTAGGGCAACTTCTAACCTGATACATTTAGCCAAAATGTTTTAAAATTCTATCTCCAAGCTTATTTTAGTGCTTCTTTTCCATCTTATTACTTTGAAAAATTTTCATTAGAGATTCAAGGCTTTCCAGAACTGAAAGTCACCATAGAAATGATTATGAGACAGAACATCTGCTGAAGATACCTTATGAAGTTAAATTTGAATTCAGGTTTAAACATGTAATACGGGTGATTTTTATATTATACTAATCCTTTTGCTTAATGAAAGCAAAGTGATGTTGTGTTTTATTTTTAAGGGTTATAAGAATTCATGGTATTTTAGAAGTGCCGGGCAGATTTTACCCTTATGCCACTATAATATAAAATAGATCTGTCAGCAAATCAATAGTGCAAAGGAGAAAAATTCTTCTTCTACTGAAGAGTAAAGGACAACTGCTGTTTCAATCACCACTTTAACAGCAGTGTTTGCATTCAATTAACTGCTAATTACAAGTGATTGTTACCTGTGTGTAAAAACAAGTTCTTAAAAATATATAGTTCATCTCTTCCTTCCTGAATTTCATCAGCAAAATATCTCTATGCCCTTGAACACAATAAAACTAAATGATATTTTTAAAAATATTCTATAAAATTGACTCTTCTTAAAGTCAGATTAACCTCTTAGCCAGTTCAAGTTAAGAAAGTTTTTCAATGTGTGAAAAGAAGAAGCAGCTAGATGGAAATCTCATCTTGATTCCTATTTTTCCAGTGGAAAAATTAACTCTAAATTGAGGAAACTTTTTTAAAAGAAACCCAGAAATGAGCCCAAAGTAACTAATCCCAACTCCAATATTTTATTTAAAGTTCTATATTTTTCTACCTTTATAGTAACGAGCATTTTTAAATGTGTTGAAAATGAATATATGAATAAATTTAAAAATAACTGAGGGTAAATGCCAAAGATAGATGACACATGCTTGAAAAGCAGCTTTTAAACTCTCCTGTGCATAACATGGTTTTTCAACCTGAGCACCATTCACAATTTGGGCTGGATAATTACTTGTCTTGAGGAGGTGGGAGGGGTGCTGTCCTTTGCATTATAGGACGTTTAGCAATATTTCTGGCCTTTACTCACAGCATACCAGTAGCACATCCCCCACCCAACACCTGTCCTGTCCCAGTTGTGACCACCATAAATGTCTCCAGACATTGTCAAATGTCCTCAGGGGCTGGGGACAAAATCTCCCCCAGTTGAGAATCACTGGATCTTTTGATGAAAATATAGATCTCTTGGTCCTACCTCCAGAAATTTGGATGCAGCAAGTCTGAAAGGATCTCTGTTTTGTTACAAGTACTCTGGATGTGTCTTATGTAGGTAATCCCCGGATCCCATTTTGGGAACCACTAAGTATTTGTTTCTTCACAAGCAAACTTGATAGGGAAGGGAGGGACATTCACAAAAGGCCCACTCAGTATGCAGGAATATGACGTTGGTAACCTCATTGACTCTCCAAAACTAGAAGAGGCAAAGGAAGAGACACAAATGGCCTCTTTATTAATCAGAAAACCTTGTATATTTTAGAATGTCACAGTGTATAAAAATGATTTTATGAGTTCTCCCAACAATCCTCTGAAACAAATAGAAAAGATATTGCACAAATATGCTTCCGTACCCATTTCTACCTCATTAGGATTTGTATTTCTAGTTTCTGTGATCATGAATAACAGCTCAACAAAAGCTAATCAACTCTTTCAACTTAGGGCATCCCTAGAAGAAACAGACGCAGGGGTTGCCTTACTTAAAATTACACACTTGAAATCAGTCAGAATTCAAAGTTTAAAAACTTTTCATATCTAAATAGTATTTGTTTTTTTGTGTGTGCTCTTTTTCAGCAGGTATGAGTGAACCAAACAGGTCAGTTTACTATAGATTGGGCATTGAGGGGTTTCATATTCTTAACTAAACATATCACTAAAATTATATGTGAATATGTTTAACTTTCAAGTTTTCCTAAAATTAATTTTAACCTTTTGTCCATCAAATCATTTAAGAATATAGTACTCGTTTCAGTTAATGTACCTGCTTTTCAGCAGGTTAAACTACATTTTTTATTGCTTTTCAGCAGTGACATTACTCCTTATCTAGTTTATTGTCAAATAAATTCTTTTTTCCGTGGTCTACTGTCAAACCTATCCTGCACTGTGCAACTGACTTTTATGAACTAAATACAAGACTGTACATTTATTCCTGTCAAATTTGTCTTCTTGGTCAAGCCCAAATATCCATTCTATATATAAACCAAATAACCAAATTGGTGACAAGGTTAGATGTAAATTCCTGTACAAGCTTGATATAGCCTCTATCTTTCCTTTTTATCTTTTTCCTGATCATTATTAAGAGTTATTTATACTTCTGAGATCCTCAAAGCAAGATGGAATCATAAGGACACATCAGGCAAATAGAGCAACACCATAAATAAATGAGTGGATCAGCCCAGAGTATATTGGCTTTCAGTGGCCCAATAAATAATGTCTGAGGATATGTTGTTTGAGTACCTCACAACCAGCTTCCAACCTCTCCTTCCAGAGGTGCCTTATATTGGTCCTTATCCTCCACTACATATAGGCAATAGGACTGTTTCCATTGATTTAATTTAACATGATGTTCCTACCTCAAGTCTTCTATTTACTCCTTTGAGCTGTAGGGGCAGAAAGGTGGCGATTCGTCTCATCCCCATCCTGTGGGTTACGGCTGATATCCCCATAACAAAAGACAGGTTAACAAGAAAAAAGCATATCAGATTTGTTTAATCATGGTTTTACTTGACATGGGAGCCTTTAGAAAGAAAACTAAAAGACACAAGGGAAGCCATCTGATTTTATGCTTAGGTTTAATGAAGAAGAAACAGCCATGTAGAAATGTGACTGGACAAAAAGGGTATTGATATAGTAGTAATAGCTTGATTGGGGCTGGGGGGCGAGCCCAGAAAGGCCTGTCTCTTTAGACTCTTCTTGGCCTGTCTGTGCAGCATTCTTTCCTTCTAGGTATGGGGCAAAACCCTCTCTGGAATAGGAGTTTTATGACCTACAATCAAATAAGGCAGGCCAGATTTACACAGAAAGGTGAGGGAAAATTCAAGTATTATTTTTAGTTTTATGGCTGGCTTTGAGGGAAAGTGGTTTCTATGACCCACATTGGAAAAAAGAGATTCTAGTTTCTATGGCTAGGCTTAGGGGAGAATGAGGCTGAGAGACAGAAGGTCAGGAGGTCAGAAAGAAACTTTGCTTTTGAGGCTGCTTCTGAGGCTTTCATTTGGGATATTATTTTCTGAGTTCCAACAGACCCATCTCTCATGTTTTCTGCAATCCAACCTATCTCTGTCTGATGAGTTCAACTAGTCCCCCAATGTCGTCTAATATAGCCACCTCCTCTGTAAAACCTTCCATGATTACTTCCTTCATTGCCCATCCTTTTTGTAAAGAAATTACTTCTTCTACTGAATTCTCCTAGTAATAGTTGAACACATCACTCTTAAAATATTCATCATTTGCTATGATTTCTTATTCATATGTCACATCTACTAAATACCTAGTATAATGTTTCTCAATTGGGAATTTTTGTTGATTTAATGAATTAATTAAAATTATACCTTAAACTTGAAACTTATATTTAAAAGCTAGAAAAAGCTTATAGCTAGAGTTAGGACAAATTAAAGAATAAGCTTAATAGTAAAAATAAGAGTAAATCAATAAAAAAATCATAAACAATCCTATGTTGATAAGCAAAAGAAACACAAATGTGCATCTTCTAACCTATGTTTTAATAGGAGTAATCATTCTAGTAGGTTTTCCTAATCATCTCAAGCTCCTTGGGATTTATCTAGTTTCTGTGATCATGAACAGCAACATAACAAGAAGTTATCAACTCTCTCAAATGTAGGACATTATAAGAGGAAATAGCAGTTTTTAGAAAGAGCACTTCAGACATGACACAAAGCAAAAAAAAAAATGTTTACAGGTGAAAAAGTAGGTTTGGGGCAAAACAACAAATTTCTTAACTAGTCCGTAGGTCGCTAATTTATTTCAAAGCCATTAGACCTAGAATAAGCCTGGTGAGGCCAACTCTACTTACACTGAGACAAAAACCATTTAGAGCAGCTAGGCAATTTATTCCCCCTAGAAAAACTCTAATGAGAAAAAATGCCTTAAGTTAGATAAAGATAAAAAATAATCTCAGAACTGGAGCCACAAATTACTCTCCAAAAGCATAGAAAATCAAATATTTATTCATTCATTGAACACTTTATTTTTTATCATCAGTTTTGTTCCAAGGACTGTTCCTAAGTAGTGGGGACACAGTGATAAACAATGCAGACAGCTATAATAGAGTTTATAACCAGTGGGACAGAGGGATAACAAATAACAAGACACAGTAGATATGGAGTTTGGTAAGAGCTGTGGAGGTGGCTGAGATAGAGAGCAGGATGATCAAGGAAGGCTTCTTTGAGGCTTTCCTTCTTTGAACTGAGACCTGAGAAGAGGCTGGGCAATGGGCCTTTTCAGCAGAAGGACTAGCAGATACAATGGTCCTGGAAGGAGAAAGGAATTGGTGTGCTGGTCATCGGGATCCATTTGTTAAGCAAGGACATGGAGCATTAAATTAGAATTTCTGTAAAGAACTGTTATAATACCATTCCTTGGGCTATAGTAAGAACAGTAGTCTAGGCTTTGGAGTAGTTCTTGAGTCTAATCACTCCCACTGGCCATATCCAGTTGATCACAAAATCCTATTAATTTCAATCATGATAACTAACATTAATTGAATGCTAAAAGGTACCAGTTCATCTTTTAAGAGTATTATATTTTTTAACTCATTTAATCCTTACAACCTCCCTACTATCCAGGCACACTGGTATTATCATTGCAATTTTATATTTGACCCAATGAGCAATACATAGCTTGAGCAACTTGCAAGGAGACATAGCTGTAAAGAGGCAGAGTCAAGATTCTAAGCAACATACGTGGTTCCAGAGCTTATGCTCTTCTCCACTGCATCTTACTGCCTCCTAAACATCTATGAATTCTATCCCCTTCTTACTATTCTCACCTCCTTGGCTTTAGTTTGTTCAATGGCTCATCTTTTCTTGACTGGACTCTTGCAAAGGCAGTAATCATTTCCCTTGCTCCTTACCACCTACCCCTTTCCAGACAGTTCTTTTGTCCATACTGATGCTACAGTTATCTTTATAAAGTTCTGCTGTCTAATACTGTGACTATTGTCTACATGAAGCTATTGAGAACTTAAAATGTGCTGTAAGTGTAAATTACACTACACCTCAAAGATTTAATATAAAAAAGTAAATATTTCAGTAATAATTTTTACATAAATTACATGTTGAAATTATGGTATTTTGGATATACTGGATTAAACAAAATACAATATTAAAATTGATTTCACCTGTTTGATAGGAAGAGAGGGAAGGGAGGGAAAGAGGAAGAGTAATATACCCTGATGAGCAGCAAAATAGTGAAATAAATTTAACATATACAGGAAGCCTTTGTTTCCTAAGGATAATTAGAACTGAGAAAGAACACTTAAAATGAATCCGTAAAAAATGAAAACCCAAAACTTCACAATAACTATTTTTAAATGTTTAATGCAGATTTCATATTGAACAAAATGAAGCCCCAAATACTGTTCATTTTTATCTTGTGTTTAATAAAATTTATGTTGTTATTGAATCTATCCTGGATTCTTAAAATGAATTAAGAATGTACCAATGGGCAAGGCTACTTTTAAAAATATTCGTAGCATAACAGAGCTTTCTGCACAAATCATTTGCTTTTAAAATAATTATTTTGTTTTCATCCTTGTCAATTTTTGTGTTCCTTATTGTTATCTGGTTTAACTTTTGGATTCTCACTTGTCAATGGCTTTGTTTTAAGTAATTTGCTAGTACCATTTTTTGTGTGTTTTATCTTGTAACTCTTATAAAAATCATAATTTTATTTTTAACCATTTTTTTTATTTTCCTAAATTGTGAAAAGAGATTGACCCTCAAAGACGTTGGAACAATGTCCAGAGATGAACATCATTTGAGTGAAGACTAATTTTCCCAAGTCATTACTAAATGACTTATGGTTACAATAATGATTGCTTCTCTATAACATGTGGAAACTTCAGGAATGCTGAAGACAAAAGTATAGTTAAAAAAAGACCCATGTTTAGTAGAAGGGCAATATTTAAATTATAGTCAAGGCAGTATGACATACAGAAAAATGTAAGAACTCAGAATATAGAACATAGTGTATTAAAGAAGGTTCTTCATTTAGCAATTAGGAAGAGTCTGTCAAACCTATAAAGAGAAACCTTTTGAGGAGTGGGAAGCCTCTGATAAGAAGGGCAGAGTACCGGGGAGAATACATTTACCCCTACATGAAATGGGGAGTAGCTCTTTTGAGAAACAGAAATACATCACAGAGTTGTTCCATGAACTAAAATTAGATCCTCTTAGCAGTAAAGTATGTTATTATTCTATAAGACACTCAGAAGAGGATCAGAACTGCAAATCATGTATAAGGTCTGAAGCTGAGAAAAAAAATGTTTCTGTTTAGAACTAAAAAATATCCAATCTGAACAGACTGTGTGGAAGGGGAACTAGGAACATACTTCCCTGGTGTCCATATGAACATCAATCTCATTAACAATGATTTTCCCTCTAAAGAAGTTTTCCCTGCCTCAGGTTAAGCAGGTTACCAGCACAGGGTGACACTGATGTGGATGGAGAAGACCATTACAATCAAAGAACTGCAAGGATTTGCTGTCGGGGTTGACATTGCCTCAATAACAAACAATCTTTGTAAAGAGTAATTGATAACCGTAAAAATCACAGTTAAAAATCAAATCACAGTGTTCTTCTAAAATATAAAAATCAACCATATCTACTCAACTTACAAAAAGACAAAGAATTTATAAAACATACACAAAATATTAGCAGTGAAATATTTGAGAGTGAGCTCTTCTCAAAAATGCATTGTATGTCCATGTCGATGTGGCTGTGTCTACCTTCATGAACTCAACAAATGCTGACTCAGCCTGCAGCGTCAGGCCCTGTGCTAAGAGCTGGGCAGCATGGATGAAAAATATTTCATCTTCTCCTTCATACAACTCAAAAGATGTATAAGCCAGTTTCAGCAGACTGTCAAGCTAGGAGAGTACAGTTTGATTGTTGTTCCATTGATTTTGGATTGGTTTTATATTGATTTGGGGGACAAATTTTGTAGCACGATCTGCATGACTCCTAGTCCCATATGCCCTACCTTGGCATATGCAAATACTCACCACCACCACCCCCACACCTGTAGGATGACTTGCCCCTCAATACCTGGGATAAATAAAGAGTCCAGTGAAATGAATTCCCTCAAGTCAGCCATGCTATTGACTGTGCCCTAGCTTTAATAATCTACTGCCTGGTAAGTCCCATTTTCCTGAGCTTCTGCTCCCTCATTCTCCTTCAGCTTCCTATACTGTGTTTCCTGACCCTGAACCATCTGGGCAGGCCATCAGACACTCATTATCATTCGCCAATTCAATGTTTGATAAAGCACTGTTGATGAACACCTGCATCAGAGTTACCTGATTTCTAGCCCCATCTAGATCAGCTGAATCAAAATATGTGCTCCCACCTTATAGTTTCAGGATTACCTCCAGCCCATCTTATTTTTTTCCCAAGTGCATGTTTTGCTACAATGTGGAAATCTATGAAAGAGTAAATGTGAACATGACCTCAAAGTCTACAACCAAGTAACAAGAGAAAGCTATACATCTTCAGCATCACTACCACTATGATTAACAAGCTATTGATAAGATTACATCTAGTTGGAAAATTCTTGCTATAATAAGTCATGTGTGTATACCTGCTGGGAAAAATATCATTAATTCTGAAAGAATATTTTTTATTTGGATCTGGAGATTTTTAGTAAAGCGATGTTTTCTAAACTGGCAGACATCAGACTACATATGTATTTGTTTGACCTACATACTTGTTTGAATTTTTTTAATGCAATACTGATACTTAAACATTAGGAGGTAACATGTAAAAATCTGGATTTCAAGTTTATTCTGTAAGATTGATAGATCTGTGTTGCTGGGCCTGCATATCTGCACAACAGTCAGCAGATCTATTAGCTGCTCCCTCTTGATGGGCAATGGTCTCTCCAACTTGCCACAATTGCTATTCTGCCAGATTCACTAATTCACATTACCTTCCTGGTCCCTGTGGGCACATGAGTTGGCAACAATGACTTAAGAGCCCAGATTCTTGCAAAGAGAACTAGTACTAAAAACCCAGACTGCTTAGTGCTGTGAAACAAAGAAGGAAATATATAGGCTAAAATATCACTCCTCTGGGGAAAATACATGGGCTAACGGCTCTCTCAAACTCAGGGTTTACGATTTTGTAAACCAAACCAAGCAGAAATGCTGTGCAGTATTCTAATGCTCTCTCATTGGTGACAGCCTGCAAGCACAGAAACAAAAATAATTCTTTTGGTTTAATCCAAAACAATAATGAGTAAGGATGCCGATGGTGGGGGAGTGAAACCTTTATTTTCAAAGGAGTTTGCAGTGAAAAAATCCTATTCCTCTTACATTCAGCACACAGCATGCTTTGGTGACAGATGGTCATTCCAAGTGCTGTGGTCTGTCTCAATATATAATGACAAATATATAAACCTTCTGTTGTACAGCATAGGCGTGAAGCTTAAACACCTGCTTCAAATTACTCTTATACCATAAACATTCTTGGAAATTGGAAAGCCCTGTGTTTTAAGAAAGGAAGAGACGCCACAGCCAACTACACTAAATTGGGTAGGCTTGGGTCCAGTGAGCAGTAAAAAAAGAAAATTACACCTGAATCTACTGGCAAACAGCTAATGGTGATAATAATATTACTGAGTAGGAATACAGTTAAAATCGATTGCTGCAGAAATCTTGTACATTCTCAAATGTGTACTTAAACTAATGATGTATATTTTATTTTTCATCTCTCTCTTTTCTTTTAAATGTGTTATATCTGGAATGCTTCTGGGGGTAATTTTAAGATGGGGATGTTTTGATGTTCTAATTAACAGAAGGATTAGTGACACTTTCTAATATTATTTCTTCCTATGTCTATCAAATGATTAATTACCAATATTTCACTCAAGAACTAAACTGCTAACATTTCAGCTCCTCTAGCAGTTCTATCACAAGAAGAGATCTGAATTCTTGTCAGTCTACAATGAAGTTGTCACTGCACTTTCCTGATTCCTTCAGGGAAACATCTGCCTACTTGAAGCTCTCATAATGAAGCACTGTCAAATTACTGAAAGGCTGCACATCATCCAATAATTAACCTGGAAAGATCACTTGCCAATGGCGTTCTGCCATGACAAACAGATGTTCCTGCTACCTATCTGAAAAAGAGGTCAAATGTTCTGAAGTAGACATACTCTGTGTTCCTTCCTGTGAGTATGCATTAGTCATTTATTAAGCTTCTCCTTTTGCACTGTATGAAAATTAAAGGTAGTTTTCAGTTTATTGATTGACTGACTAGATCATTTTAAAAACAGACATATCTTTAAAGTAATTACGCAACTGAGTTCAAGATTGGAGGGCTGCAAATAGCTTGTCAGAATGCATGTCAATTGACATTGCCTTTCATATTCATGACAGTTAGAGTATATGAACACTGTAATCAGAGACCTGCCAAGATACACAAAAAATAAATGCAATATTAATAAACAAACATTTGAAGCCCATCTTATTTCCCATATGCAAACACCAGGGTTAGATTATCACTATAGATCAGGCTGGGCAAATTTTTAAAATCCTGTGCCACTCGGCAAATATTTGAAGAAAAAGAATGCTTGCTGGGCCAATGGCAATTTCAAGGAATTAAAACAGCATTTGCTAAAATATATTAGGATCAAAGCTCTATACTTCATTCTTGGTGGACCAAAAAAATATAATTTATGCTCTTGTAGACATTACCTCTAAGCAAATTTAGCAATTGTATTTAGGAATTAAACCTCGTTAGGCACTTAGCTGTTAATACTTGAACACGTAGAGTAAATATTTGTTTTCAATATTAAGAAATAACTCCCTACTGTTTTATTCATTTTAAAGGAAGTAATTTATATATGTGATTTCAAAAAACTAAAAAAGATATAAAATAACAGCATCCCTCTCACCTTCACATTCTCAACCCCCAGAGACAAGCAGTGAACAGACATTTTGTGTATCTCCTAGAAATTTTTATGCCTATATTGTAGATGATACCACACTCATCATTCTGTCCCTACTACTTTTCTTTAACTGTATACTTTGGAGAGCATTCATTATTATCATGTGAAGATTGATCTACTTCATTGTGTTTAACAGATGCACACTGAATGGATATACCATGGTTATTTCAATATTCTCTTGCTGTTGGTCATTTTGTTTGTTTCCTGATTTTATCTGTTAAAACAACGCTGCAATGAACAAAGGAATAACTTTCTAACCGTGTTACTTAAAAAATGGAATAAATTTTCTTAAAAAGTTGGGGAAAATTACTTAATCTTCTACAAGTGATCAGAGCCAGAGAAGTTCTAGTGAGGAGGGCCAGAGAAGAAATTCTAGCTCAGCAATTGCTTCAAGTAACATCATTGTTAGCATCCTCTGAGTCACATAGAAATCATTCCCAAATGTTCATCTATGCCTGATCTTCAAGGGTGTTATCATAGCTGTATCTATAAGCTTAAAAATCCCACAGCTATTTGTAACAGTATATGGAGGTTTCAAAAGCTTGTGGGGTGTGTGTGTGTGTGTGTGTGTGTGTGTGTGTGTGTGTGTGTGGCTGTCTCTTTTTCTCTTTCTGTCTCTATATACTTATACCTATTCTGTCTCATTCATGCATGTGTGTGTGTGTACTTCAAATAGACTAGTGGAATATTCTTATTATAATTGTATTACATATTTGGGGTCCCCAGACCTCTTTTATAACCCTTTGGTGTGGGGTAAACCTAAAAGACGACAAAAAGTATTCTGACTCACAGAATCTTAGGAGACGGTAAAGATCTCATGACATTATGGAAGTTAGAGCATGGGTACACTCAGCCTAGGTCCAAAATTAACATTTAAATTAAAATCTGAAAATATCTTTCTTTAATTTCACAATGGTCCTTCAATTTACAAGCCTGCTTTTAACCAAAATTTTCTGATGGTTATAGAAGAAATGTTATAAGGTGATATTGGGGAAAGCTAGCTGGCCATTGTGACATTCATCTTTAATTCAATGCCTTTGTCTTGAAAGGTCTTCTCTTGTCTTTTCCTTATGATCTTTAGGCATCTTATGGCCCTCAACTTGAGCCCCTCCCCAATTTTCAATATCAATCAGACAAATCCAAAGAGAGAAAGAACTTGTGAGCTCTTCTTCTGTCAGTCAAAGGATAATAGCATTTTTGCATTGGAGTAAGCACCCTGTGGAGTCAATTGGTTACTATGAATTCCAAATTTGAGCCGCCCGCCAATGTGTCGATGACTCACGGAGTCATGACGACTTTTTTCACAAATGCGCTACCTTTTTATAGTGTTCAGGGAAAATCTGTAACTTTTTAATATGCCTCTGGATAATCAACTGTATATTGTCTTTGACCACTTTATTTCTTTTCACACACACATACAAACACACACACACACATCTTATTAATACTTCAATGTCCATACTTCTTTTCCCATTTACCTGATCATTTTCTTAGGCAAATATCAGTTTTGACATATTTATGGTAATCTCATAACATAACTTTTCATTTGTTTTGCTTTCAGTTAATTTTCTTTATTCCCCAAATCTCCAGTCTCACTTCAATGTCTCCTTTTGTTAAATCTGTTTGGCATTTAAAGGTGCTGTATATCCTTTATTTTGCCTGAACCCTGACTTACTACCTGCACTAAGCATGAAACAGAGCATAATTCTTGGAACCTTAGCAAGTCCCTCCAAAAAACACTGGACCAATTGCCCTACCCAGTGATTTTCGGCTAGAGAGGACCTAAGCAGGAGCATGGTAGAAGTGTGACTGAGAGAGATGTCAAAATACCATGACCCTTTGGATGCACAACTTTGATAAGAAAAGGAATAAATGATAAGCAGAGCATCCCCTATTACAATCTCTCAAACCTCTGCTCATCAATCTGGGCTATATATCAGAATCATCTGGTGAACTTTCAAAAATTTCTTATTTTTGGGGCCATACCTCAGAATAATTAAATCAAATTCCTTAGAGGTGAGGCCAGGTATTGACAGTTTCTAAAATTCCCCAAGGAGTTCAAATGTGTAGCTACATTTGAGAACCAGTTGTTCAGAGTACAGTAAGCAGCCATGTAATAGAACAATATCAAGCCTTTCCAGAGGAAAGCTGTGCCCACTGGTAGTTCATCCAGACTTTTTCACAAGGAAGATGGTATTTCACTAGCATTGGTTGAATGCCTGTGATGTGATGGAGACTAAAGATATACTGTTTCACTGGACCCTTCCTATAATATAAGAAGAAATACATATTTGGTCTCTGTTCCTGGTTCCAGACACAGAGCCTTTAAACCTCTTATAGACAGGGGCACTAGGAGAATTTTTTGTGATATAAGAAGAAATATACATTTGGTCTCTGCTTCCGGTTCCAGACACAGAGCTCTTAAAACTCTTATAGATAGAGGCAGTAGGATAATTTTTTGTTCTAATATTTGGTCTTTGACCTCAGTTCCTGCCACAGAGCTCATAACACCTATGTAATTTCCTGAGTGACAGGAGCATCTGACACAGAGTTACTAAATCCCTTGGAGTTTTCTGAGTGATAGGAGCATCTTGTGTTCTAATGAGAGACCTTTTGGTGTGCTCCTGGGCAGCTTTAGGATGAGGGCTGGTTGCCAGGGGAACCAACTGTGTGATGAGAAGTTTGGAACTTTCAGTCCCGCCCCCTGACCTTTGTGGAGTGAAAAGGGACTAAATGTTGAGTTGATCACCAATGTCCAGTGACTTAATCAATTATGCCTACTTAATGAAGCCTCCATAAAAACCTAACAGAACAGGATTCAGGGAACTTCTGGATTGCTGAGCACATGGAGGTACCTGAAGGGTGGTGCACTTGCATAGGGCATGGAAGCTCCATGTGCCTTCTCACATACCTTGTCCTATGTGTTTCTTTCATTGGGACATTCATCTATATACTTTATTGCATAATTTATATTAAGTGAGTAAACATAAGTAAAATGTTTCCCTGAGTTCTGTGAGCCACTCCAACAAATTAATTGAACCCAAGGAAGGAGTTATTGGAACCCGGATTTATACCCAGTTAGTCAAAAACACAGGTCACAAATTGGGGCTTACAATTGACGTCTGAAGTGAAGGCAATCATGTGGAATTGAATCTTTAACCTGTGAGATCTGATGCTCTCTCCAGGTAGATGGTGTCAGAATTGAATTGAACTATAGGGCAACCCAGCTCGTGTCCACTGGAGAACTGCTTGGTATGTATGGAGACCTCTCTCCCACATCTGGTGTCAGAAGTGTGTTGAGTGGAGTGTGAGAGCAAGAAAAACAATCTATTTTTTTCAGACGCACATAAGTCTTTGCAATCTCCATTTTATAGATGAAAAAACTGAGGCTTAGATAACTTGCCCAAAGCTGACAGATTTAAGATTCAACCCCAAGACTGCAATGCTCCAGAGTCCATGCTCTTTTGTGCTGCACCACGCTTTCACTGCATTCCAAAACGGAGGGTAGCTATCTGTCACCACTGTACATCCTATCTTATTTCAGGCCTCCTGAGGTTTCCTGTCATTGGGTTTCATATCTGGCTCCTGGAAATTCTCTCAGATAGGAAATGAAGAAGTGAAGGAATTCTAAACACACAGAGAATTCTATTTTACTCAGAACAGCCATTCAATCAACCAAGCTCTGTGTCTCTGACATTCTGATAACAGAAAATAATTCCATTTTTTTTTTTTTGCAGGCTCCCTGGCACATCAGTACCAAGTTTCTCATGTCATGTCAACTTCGATTTCAATTTTACCCCAGGACACATGCACCTCAGCATGGTCAGCTCAGCAGTATATCAATGATGGCAAAATTTAACAGCCTTTAAAAGAGAGCTGGATGAAAAGGATTCCGAACTGCTTTTCAGGACATCCATGAATCATCTGCTTTCAATGGAGTGATATTTTAGAATCACCCACTCAAGTTGACACCAATTCTGAATGGTGAGGTCTCACCCTTCTTATGAAGATAACTTCCAATGCCATTAGTCTCCTTAATGCAGGCTTAGCACCAATGAAACTATTTCTGCTGCTGCCTGGCATGGACAGATAGAAGAGTGTTTTCCTTGGAAAAATACTAGAAATCATTTTAAAGCTTTAACCTCATAGTTTAACAAAGTCCAATAAGCTATATGCTTTGACTGTATCACTCAGGCTTCTGGCAGAACTGAAAAGATCTGAGATTTAACACTATTTTTTCAATAGTAAGTAAAGGCTAGTGAAGATATACCTAGAATCCTTTACCCTTTCATTACCAATAGATGATACTAGTGCATATTTCACAGATTTATGGTAAAAATTCAAAAAGGAATGGGAGAAATTAAAGGTTATTCAGCAAATTATGTGGCACTTAATAAAATTCAATACATTTTAGCATTTTCCCTCAATTTTTTGTAACTTGCTGAGGTTTCCTTATTTAAAGATTCTGAAAGCAAATTTCACTCAGAGAAAACACTTTCATTATAAACAGGATATTTACTTCTACCAAAAAAAAAGAAAGCTATTCAGTCTATCATATTTCCTTCTTTTCTCTAGCTACCAGGAGTCTCAGTATTTTTCCTCTTTTCAAAGTAATGTGAAGCAGCATGCTTCATAGAAGCATGAATTTATCAAAAATAAATAAAAGAATTTGAATAGAACAGAATAAATAAATACATTTATTAAAATAGAAGACTTTTTTTTTTTTGAGATGGAGTCTCGCTCTGTCGCCCAGGCTGGAGTGCAATGGTGCAATCTCGGCTCACTGCAAGCTCCGCCTCCGGGGTTCACGCCATTCTCCTTCCTCAGCCTCCCAAGTAGCTGGGACTACAGGCGCTCACCACCATGCCCTGCTAATTTTTTTTTTTTTTTTTTTTTGTATTTTTAGTAGAGATGGGGTTTCACCGTGTTAGCCAGGGTGGTCTATATCTCCTGACCTCGTGATCCACCTGCCTCGGCCTCCCAAAGTGAGAAGCATTTCTTACACTTAAGCTTCAAAAGAAAGAGAGCCATCATGGTGTTAGTATAAGAGAAACTGATTTAATATTGACCAGTCTGCTATATTGATAGATAGATTACAGGAAGATTAGATAGACAGACAGATCACTAGATAAAATTTCCTCTTCCTGCCTATTCCTTCTGTTGCTTCACTTTTGTCTATCATTTAGTATTAAGGACTTTTGACTTATAATGTCAATAATTTTATTTTAAGATATCTCAATTCTTCCAAAAGGTGCAATACAAATAAAGGCATAGATATGTACACAAAAATGTTCTTTCTGTATACATTTCTTATTTTTGTTTCAGCATTAAAGAATGAGAATTCAACCCAATTTTATTTGTTCAATAAGTATTATGTGCCAGTCTTTGTCCTAGGCAACAGGATAACAATAGTGAAGGCAACATCTCCTGAGGATAACACTCTAGAGAAAGTCTTTCCTTCTGAGTTGGGGTAAATCAATGAACTGGAGCTGTACCAAGATATCAATCCCCTTAGCTCTTTAGGTGGTTGAGATGGGGTTTGAATTTTCTGGATCACTGAAATCTAGAGTTACATATCCAATTATGTACTAGACTGGACATCACTATCTGGTGTTTATTAGGCATGCAAGCCACTAGTCCATTTATCCCTGTGTGTGCTACAAAGACGGTCAATTCTCATTATTCACTAATTCCATATTTGCTAATTTACCTACTTGTCAAAATTTATTTGTAACCCCAGAACCAATATTCACAATGTTTTCACAGGCGTTTACACACATGCACATAGAGGTGACTATTTTGGGTTCTCTGACATGTACTTTCCAGGCTGAGTCTGAACAAGATGGCAATCTTCATTCTTATTACAACTCTCATACTATAAGCAAGTGTCCTTTCTGTCCTACAAGCAAGAAGTCTATTTAGTGTCATGTCTTTCACATTTTTGTCCATTTTTTGGTGTGTTTCCTGTTTAGTGTTACTCCCAAGCACAGTACCAAAGTTCTGTCTAATGTTCCTAACACCAAGAAGGCTGTAATATGCCTTACAGAGCTTAAAAAAACACCTGGTATGAGATAAACTTTATTCAGACATAAGTTATAGTGTTGTTGGCCATGAGCTCAGTGGTAATGAATGACCAATATATATTTTTTTAAGTGTCTTTAAACAGAAACTAGAATGGCATGACTAGAATAAAGTTATACATCGATGAGCTGATGAGAATTTTGGGCCAGAGGCTTGTAAAAACCTGACTCTGCATTTCCTCCATGAGCAATGGGTCGGTATTTGCTAATTCAGTGTTCACAATGACTTTATAAGATATATTATAACAAATAATGAGAATAAATTGTATTGCCATTTCCTAGATGTGCTATAATGCAAAAAAGGCTATGAAAAAATTATTTTAGATGGGAAAAGACAGACAAATTAATAATAGGTTAGTTACTAATAAACAGAGTGATATCAAATACCATGAGGAAAATTAAATGGAGTAAAGATAAAGACTGAGAAGAATGGGACCACTTAAGAGTAGATGGTCAGAAAAGTCCTCATGGATAGGGTAGCATCTGTGCTGATCCCTGAATACCTAGAAGAAGCCAGTCATGACAATGGAGTCAAGGGGTAAGCGTTTCCAGGCAGACAGCAAATATAAAGACCAGAAAGCAAGAATAGGTTTGGTATATCCCAGGAACAGAAGGAAGACCAGTGTGCCTGCAGCATAGTTTATTGGGGGTAGGAAGGAGGCAAGGTGAAGGGAGCAGAAGGTAGGGGCTGCATCATAGAAGGACTTCTGGGCCATGGTAAGAATTAGTTTATAATTTAAGTATAAACAAAAACCATCTGAGAACTCTAAGCAAGCAAATGATATGATTTCATAAGCATTTTTAAAACCTACTGTTGGCAACTGTGTAAAGAATGAACTGTAGATAGGCCAGGGAGAAAACAGAAAGAACTGGTAAAAGGCCATGGCAGGATCTCAGATGAGAGACAGTGGTGGCATGACTAGAATTATAGCAGTAGGGATGGAGAAAAATGAGCCGATTCAGGCTACTTACAGCACTTGTGAAGAATAAGTTCAAATGAAAGAAATTCAAGCTATCTTTTAGGTGGCTCAAGCCATTTGGTTGAGAGTGGTACTTGAGGGAAGAACGATTCTGGATAAAAGAAATTTTGGGTTCTGCTGGAGATGTCTGGGATGCAGTTGTAAATATAGCCCTAAAGTTCAGTGATAAAGTCAGAGCGGGAAATATAAATTTGGATATCATTGGCAACTATGTGACATTTAAAGCCTAGATACTGAATGTGATCATCCAGCAAGAGGAGCAGAGAACTAACAACAAAATCTTGGATAGAACAACATTAAGGACAAGTATAGGCGAGGGGAAAGTCAGCAAAGAAAACCAAGATGATAACCTCAGCTGAAGTAGAAAGGAAACTATGGCTTAATAATATCTTAATTCTCTCACAGGTATTAGAAGAGTCATAGAATTATATAAATTTGGTTGTCTGTATTATGGAAGTTTTATTTCTGTATTCATTATGGAAGTTTATGTCTGTATTGCAAGACAGAATGATCACGACATCAGTATGTTGTTATTCTTCTTATTATTTGCTTAATCAGTCAACATTGATATTAAATATTTGCCTCCATCAATGTGATAAATTTGCTCTTGAAATTTTATACTTGAATGATTTTTATAACTTTATTAAAGCAATACATACATACAATGAATAAACTTTTTTTAACTGCAGATAAATTATTCACTGCCATAAGTTGCAGGAGACCTTTAACTCTCAGGCAGTGAAAAGGAGCAGAGCAACTAAGGTCATTCTCCAGGATGTACAACTACAGCCCATATGCTATGTTTGGTACCCCTACATTTGACATTTTCAATTGTTTTTGGCAGCTGGGGTTACCTATTTCTAAATTAAGCAATAAAATTCTGAAATATGGTTACAGTTGCAGATGGGCAAGTACAACAAACCTAATGATAATTTTGTTTGTTATCCTTATTATTATATCAACAGAACTTAGGGGGTTTTTATTCATTTAAAATCATTTGTTATTATAAACAATGGAAAACTAGGCCTGCTGCCATCAACTGCATGCACAGCCCAGAGCTGGATAAAGATGCATATAGCACCCTCACACTGCATCATTTTACTCCACGTTGAAACCAAATAAAACCTGGGATGACTACCTTGTAAAGGAAAATATCTTCTACCTCTCTACCAAAACCCTCATGTGACCTCACTCTGCCACCCATCTCCACTCCCAAACAAACTCAGGTTCATGTTTAGAAGCTTTCTCCTTCTTCTCTTCTTTCATTTATATCAAGGACTGTGTCTAATTTCTCTCTGTCCTCAGTAACCAGCACAGTGGCCAGTAAATTCTAGATTCTCAATACATGTTGAAATAAAATGGTACTTTCAATTTACAATTGTCTTGCTCTCTAAAGTCTTCTATGTTTTCGTGCAGAACCTCTTATTCTTTTAGTTTAATTAATTATGATTTGTGGGGTTTTTGTTTTATGACAGGGTCAATAGATATTTTGTAGCACCTACTATAGAGAGGATCCTACATTTGAAAGAGTAGCTGTTTCAAAGACCTGGCCCATGAGAAATTGACTGGCTAGTTGTCTGATGAGTAATCAAGATACTTTTAAAATATCAAAATAAGTACATAAGTGCTAAACATGTAGAACACAGCAGCCATACCAAAGTGATTCAAAGGAAAGAGAGCTCATGTGCTCTGGAGCCATTGGGGAAAGTTCTTTAGAAGAGGCAGAATTTGGCCAGGGGCAGTGGCTCATACCTGTAATCCCAGCACTTTGGGAGGCTGAGGCGGGCGGATCACCTGAGGTCAGGGGTTCGAGACCAGCCTGGCCAACATGGTGAAACCCTATCTCTACTAAAAATACAAAAATTAGCAGGGTGTGGTGGTAGGTGCCTGTAATCCCAGGTACATAGGAGGCTGAGGCAGGAGAATCGCTTGAACCCGGGAGGCAGAGGTTGCAGTGAGCCAAGATTCCAAGATTGCGTCATTGCATTCTAGCCTGGGGACAACAGTGAGACTTCGTCAAAAAAAAAAAAAAAAAAAAAAAAGAAGAAGAAGAAGAATTTAAAAGTTGAATCTCAAGAATAGGACAGAAGAGAAGGATGAGGAATATCTTCTTGGAATAACAAATACGAACAAGAGTCCAGAGCTGGGAATGTATCATAGCTTTCAAGGACTAATCAGTAAAACAATTTGCTGGGAGTAAAAGATCGGTGAAAAACAAACAAAAAAGCAAAATTAGAAAGATAAGTTGGGAACTTGGGGCCATGTTCTAGAAGATTGTTTTCAAGTTCTGAATTTCTTTTAAAAGCAAGAGGCAACTGATAGTTTTGTAATTATTAATGAGGACAAAGTTCAACTGGAAGACCATTTTCAGATGCTTTCAAGAAAGGCAATATCACTGAGGCCAGTAAATCTAGTAAGAATATTGCTAACATAATATAAAAATTCAGGATTGGTTGTAAAAGGTGGTTGAATATATTGGTTGATTAAATGTGGCTGAAGGAGAAAGACATGAAAGTTAGAATTAATGTTTCCAGCTGGGGTAGCTAGAGAAATGATAATATTGTTGACAGATATAAGGAAGACAGGACAGATCAAAGGGAAGCTGTTAGGGAAGAAAAGAGAATTCTAATTTAGACCTATTGACTCTGGGTGCCATCAAAACCAAGACACCTACTTGGTAAAGATGTCTACTAAGAAGGTAAAGAAATGGGACTGGATATCAGAAAGGAAATTTTTCCAGCCTCCCTGAGAGATGTAGGCAATCATTTATTTAGCCTCATATTACGTATATGTCCAGCTTTCAGTAAAATGCTTTTAGACATTTAATACATTTTGATAGTATTTTGAACTAATGTCTAAGAGGAATTCATATGGGCCCCTGTGAACCTAAATAAATAAAGAAATAGACAAGTCTCTGATCTTTAAAATATCTCCAAGTACCATTATTTATATGCATATTTACCCTGAAAAAGCATTTAAAGTAACTACCAATACAGGAGAAAATTTGGTTCCAAAGAGAACGCTGGGCTATGGGAGACCAGGAGTTTACCATCATGCTAATTAACCATCTTCTGTTAGGCAAATCACAAGTTGCTGGACCTTTGCTTTCTCCTCTTTAAATGACATTAGGCCAGATAATCTAGAACATCACTTCTAGAGTTCTGATCCTTATTTCTATGTAATTCATTTGCACTAAAGTATCATAACTTATAAAGAAAGTTGTGTGTAAGAGAACAAGAACACAGAGGAAAGAAAGATGAGAGGCTCTTTATTAAGAGCCACTTGTCCATCAGGGCAAGCTGCCTCCTTTGCATTATGTCAGGCTTATTTAAAAAAAAAATTTGTGTCTCTGTTGACTATTTAAGGTAACTAAATGGTTCCTTAGACATGCAACAACATCAATGGAGGAAGAATTCTGGTGGAGATGAATAATAAAGGAATCTTTTAATATGTATACATTTAATGAGTAAAAAGACATACACTACTTTCTCTTAATGTGACTGATTCTTCGAGGAGGAGCAAACGCATTCTGTGTTCTTACTGCACAAATCAAAGAATAAACACAGGAAGGGATCCAATATCCACAGTTAACGTTTATTGTTCCTGATGCTTTATATATATATATAATATGCATAACCTCATTGATTCCTCAAAATAGCCATCTAAGGTAAGTACCATTCTGATGTTAGGCATTTTCAAATGAAGACGCTAAGGCTAAATAGTTTGATTAACTTACTCAACTATCATTTGATTAGTACATGCTAGAAACAAGATTTTAATGCAGAGTTTATTACAAAAGTATTTTCCTCGCTATACTTCTACTATTACCAAAATTTAAGAAAGTAATATTATAGTGATATTAATAAAAAACACGTATTTGTTGTTGGTTTTTCCCCAGTTCCTGGCACACAGCTCCTAGAATCCTTGGAATCTCCCAAGTGATGATTGTCTTGAATGCTAGTGATATGACTAGTAGCTGGAGGCTCCTAGATAGCTTCGGCATGAAGGCTGGTAACCAGAAAGACCAAGGTCGGATTAGAGGAATGGGGCTTTCAGCACCACCTCCTGACCTCTGGAAAGGGACAAGAAACTGGAGATTTAGTTGATCACCATGAACCATGATTTAATTAATCATGCTTGCATAATGAAACCTCCATTAAAACCAGTAAATGACAAGGTTCTCAGAGCTTCCAGACTGATGAAAACATTGAGGTGCTGGGTAAGTGGTGCCCACAGAGAAGGCATAAAAGCTCTGCACCACCCCCAGCCCATACCTTCCTTTATGCATTTTTTTTTCATTTGGCTGTTCTTGAGTTGAATCCTTTATAATAAACTGATAAATATAAGTAAAGTGTTTCCTTGTGTTTTGCAAGCCATTCTAGTAAATTACTGAACATGAGGAGAGGGTCATTGGAATCCCTAATTTACAGCATTTTGGTCAGAAATATAGATGGAAACCTGGGACTTGTGACTGGTGTTTGAAGTGGGAGCAGTCTTGTAGGACTGAACCCTTAACCTGCGGGGTCTGTGCCCACTCTAGGTAGTTAATGTCAACCTTAAATTGAATTGAATTCTGGGACACCCGGTTAATATCTGAAGAGTTGGATAATTTGTTGAAGTAAAAAAAGAAACCCACACACTCGCTGTCAGAGTACTGTGAGTAAAAAGAGTTAAATTACTTAATTATAAAATGTTCTGTAAAAGGCAGTAATTTTCAGGGTCAACTATGACACCAAACTGCTTAGGGTCAAATTTTTATGAGATGATCTAAGATAAGTCATACAACCTTACTGTGCTTCAATTAAAATGAGGACAATAATGATAATGCCCACAACATAAGGCTGTTTTGAGGGTTATACGTGTTAATATAAATAATTTACCTCCCCATGCCTGATCCATGAAAATGCTAGCTATTATTATACCAGACACCAAGATAAGTGTTTTCTATACATTATTTTATTTAATGCCTACAACAACCTTATAAGATAGGCAGCATTAGCATCCACATCTTACTGATCAGAAAACTGAGGTTCAAAGAAACCAAAAGACTAGTCCAAGATTACATCACAGTAAATGGCATAACTTCGATTTTAATCTAAATTCACTAAATCCAAAGTCTTCATTTTATCTAGCAAGCAACATTAGAAAAAGATTTATCAGGTTGATTAATGCTAGTTGTCACAATAGAAAAAAAAAATTCCGGGGCTTAAGTAGAAGTTTGTTATCTTTGTACAGTCTAATGTTGACTAATGTAGAACAGGTCATCTTACTCCAAACTGAAACTATACACATGGACTCCAAAATCTCTGTGGCCAGGTACAAGAGAGACGAAGAATGTGCACTAGCTTTTAACGATGCCCTGAGTCACACAGTCACATCCATATATAATCCACTGATCCAGACTAGTTACATGTTTCTAATATAATTGCAAAGCAGGCTGGGAAATGCAGAGGAACAAATGGATATTGCCATGAGATTTGCCTCTACCAAAATAAACTATGCATAAAACAAATATTTGGATTCTTAGGTGTTCTCTCTTAAGAGTTTTTATATTTGGGGGAAACACATTACCAAAATTTTGATGGCAAACCTAGTGTAATGGACATTATTATTTAATCTGCTCAACAATACTGTCTTCCTTCCCTTGCATTTTTTGGTAAAACAAAGTAAGAATATTAGTCTAACAATCGTTTTTGTAAGAAAGCTTCTTGTGCTGTCTGCAGCCATAGGGATTAAGCCACTCCAGTATGAGGAAAATAAAAAACAAAGTTAAAGAAATGTCAAGAGATGGAAACACTGCCAACAGCATCTAAAGCTGTATTTCCAGTCATTCCTGGAGCTTGGGCTAATTAGTTTTCACAATGGCTGCACCAAGTGTTTATGGCTCAGCTCTAATCTGATTGGGCATGCAACCATACTGATTGGTCAGTATCTGTGACACTCAGATTGTTAATAATAATAATTATTAGTACTTTCACAAGTACTAATATGATATATATTACTGAGACAATAATAATATAAAAATTTGTTAATAATTATATAAATATATTAATAATTATTATATAGAGACAAGGTCTCACTATGTTTCCCAGGCTAGAAATTAGTGGCTATTCATAGGCATGATCATAGTACACTATAGCCTTGAAATCCTGGCCTCAAAGGATCCTGCTGTCTCAGCCACCAAAGTAGCTAGAACTACAGGCTCAGGCCACTTTGCTTCACTTTATTTTTTAAATTGACATGTAATTAGTATACATATTCATTGGGTACACAGTGATGTTTCCACACATATAATGTGTACTGATTAGGCCATGGTAATTAGCATATTCATAATCTCAGACATTTATCATTTCTTTGTGTTGGGAACATTCAATATTCTCCTTCTAGCTATTTGAAACTATATAATACAATATTGCTAACTATAATCACCTTCCAGTGCTATAGAAGCCTAGAATTAACCCTGCCTGGGGCCCACTCACAGTCTTCCTTCTGTTCACTTGATTGGATTCTTTGCTCCAACCCCTTTTGTATTTTAATTTGACATGGATTTCTTTTATTTCCAACTCAAAATACCCAATTGCCTTATTAATTTATTTAACAAATATTTATTGAGCACTCACAATGAATTAGATAATATTCTACTTGCTGAGGATACAGTAGCACACAAAATAGAATGACTGTTGCTAGGGAATTTACAGTAAAGCAAGATTTTTTAAAAATAGTCACAAATCCACAGTTTATACCATATGAAGTGATGCCAGCCTATTCCTCAGTAGTTGAGATCCAATAATAAGAATTTAGTGTTGAATAACTGAATAAAGTGTCTTATTTTGTAACCTCTGATACAAAAAGGGTATCAGTCATGGACTCCTCCCTCCCAAATCATTTCCTTTAGACAGAATTAGAGCTATGCATTGGTTAAGAGAGAACAGGGGGGCTGCATCATGTTAAATATATATATATGTATATTTCATATAAATTCATAAAACATATAAACATATAAAAATGTATAACTTACTGAATTTATAAAATATATAAACATTTACATACTTATGATATTTATATACTTATAAATTTTTGTATATTTTTATGCATATAAATTTTATTTCATATATGTATAAAATCTCTGAATGATAACAAATCATTTTCTAGAACATTGGCAGTAAAACATTTATAATTCTTTTAATAAGTAATACTCTGCAGTTGTTATTGCTAGCACTATGCTGAAGTTTCAAGGAAGGTAAAGGGGGATTCAAAAAGGGTATCAGTCATGGACTCCTCCATCCCAAATCACTTCCTTTAAATTATGAAGCATTGAAATATTCCTAGTTTAATCTAGGTGCTCAGGAGTGAAGGGGCTTATGAAAAATGATTTAAGTATTTTCACAAATATAACCTTTTCTTATGTCCTTAAATATGCATTTAATAACTACCTTGTGTGTATGTAAATATAAAGAAAGTCCCTAGATATATGAAGACGCAAAAACTTAAAAGTCAGTAGTTGAAGAATACGTCAGTTCAATTGAAAATAAAATAATATTTTGCTGCATTTAAAACTCATTTAAATATCATGTTTCAAAATGTTAAAACTTTTACTTATTTTTTTCCTAGAAAAATCCCCATTTCCTTTTTTTAAGATATAAAGCTTTAGAGAATTTAAAAATAAAAGTATTTCTAGGACATCAAAGTGTTTTATGCAAAATGCATATTTAAATCATGAAAATCTTAATGAATAAGAAAGATATGAATTCAATCTTTGCTAAATTATATGTTACTTCAAAAATGATGGTGATGATGCTAGATATACATTCCTAAAAATAAAGTATCCAACATTCAATATAATCCTAAATTTATGGTTCATCTCTAGCATTAATGACAGGCCAGGATTTTTGCCTTCCTTTCACCCAGCCATAAAGGTTGAGTTTTTAAGTTCTTATTTTTGTGCCAAGGGATTCACATTTGGAGTATTTCTTTTCACTGTGCTGGAGCATCTTGTCTTACACTGTCATTATACACCACTCATCACTATCAACATCAGATGCAACGGTACCAGCTGCTCTTGTCTCAGACAAAAATTCTCTAGCTTTAGAGTACAGATGCTGACCATCCTATAATTTCTGTACTACTTATTAAGCTGTCAATTTGATTAGTAATGAGAATTTCCAGCTGGACTTAAATAACAATACCTTTTAATTTTATGAATATGAACTAGTATAGCAGCTCCACAATTTCCTCAGATGCCCTCCCTTATCCTTGCCAGGTTTCTCTCCCATATCCCTTAGGTAAACCCTTATCCTTTTAGTCCAAGATGGCTGCCATAACTCTAAGTACCATGTTGTTATTCCAGGTCTCAAATGGCTTGCCTCTTTCCTTTAAGTAGACTTTCCCAAAAGTCACACATAGTATATTAATTTATAACTCATAGGCCAAAATTTTGTCCCATGGATGGGCATTGGTTGCAATGGATAAGGGGATGTGTAGACTTTTACATCGACAATATGCCCAGCTAAAGCTACAAGTTATTATTAAGGAGAAAAAGAAGAATGAATAGTAGTAGACAGCTAGCACATGTGACAGATATTTGTATGAATCTTTACACTTATAAAAATAATACATTAATTATCACATGTGAAGAAGAAAAAGTACATATTACCTTCACTTTATTGATAGAATTTTAATTTGGTCAAAGAAAAAGTTGTGCAATGGGGACCTGATTGGAAACCAATATTATCTATATGTTTTGGACTGAATGTTTGTATCCTTCCCCAAATCCATATGTTGAAACGCTAACCCTCAATGTGATAGTATCAGGAAGTGGGGCCTTTGGGGGGTGATTATCTCATGAGGGTGAATCTATCATAAATGGGTTTTGCACCCCTTAAGAGATATCTCAGAGAGCGCTATGTTCCACTGTGTGAGGACACACTAGAACTTGGCAGTCTGCAACCAAAAGCAGGCCCTTACTAGAACCCAAATATTCTAGCACCCTGAGCTCAGACTTCTAGTTTCTAGAACTGTGAGAAATAAATTGTTGTTGTTTATATGCCATTCAGTCTATGGTGCTTTGCCACACTGGTCCAAACTTGTGAAGACTCCATGCATAGAGAAAGCTGTCCAAAGTCAAATAGAGAGAAAGAGAAAAAGGAGCAGAGAGAAAAGACAACTACCCTCACTTTTCCTTAAGTTAATTTAGTGTGCCTCTGTTCTTAGCCATCAAAAGTACACTGAGTAGAAAAGGGGATCTCTATTCATCAAAAAATAGAGATGAATAAAGCTGATTTTTTTTGAACTCTTACTTTGTATCAAGTACTATGATCAGTATGTCTATGCCTTATAGCTGATATTTAACCATATAAGTAGGAAGACAGCATCCATAGAGTCATTAATCAGCAAAGCAATAGACAAGTGCAGGAAATCCATCCCCAGTGGTAATGGAACTATTTGGGTTTTTTTGTTTGTTTGTTTTGTTTTTTTAATTCTGTGTTCCAAACCAGCACAATGAAGAGAGCCCTGTCTTGATCCATACCACTTCCCACCAAGTTCTTTTTCCTATTGTCCTATGTAGATTGCTAATGTTTGGGCTGTGTGCCATACGTGGTAACCCGCCCACTAAAATCCACCGGTTTCTCTCTTGCTATCTTCTTTTAGAGAGCCTGGAAATGCAAACATTTAATTTTGCTTTTACAGTCAGGGTAGTCATATGATAGTCCTGTACAATTCTTCAAGTAAGTGAATATCTCTGGAAGGAGCTTTCCTTCTTGAATAAAATAATAACTCCTCAAGAAAAGAATGACTTCAGCTTTTCTACTTTCCACCTTTGCGGAATCTTAACGTGAAATTTGCAGGTACATCATCCATTTAAAACCATAAAGATAAAGGTCAAAAAGAATATCTAGGTGGAAAGATAGAAAATAGCAAGTTATCTCATGGCATTTTAAACACTGGCACCAATCCTTGACTGTCCATTTTAGAATTGTGACTATGCAAAAAAAAAAAAAAATTAGTATTCAAAGTTATTCTTGGTCATGTTTTCTGTTGGTTGCAGCCAAATACTTTCTTAAATTAACAGGTAGGTGGCTTCAAACATTTGTTTATTTTATTTTTAGATTTTTTTTTTGCCATTATGCTAACCCTAGGCTCTACTAAAATCACTGTACTCTGTTTGTCCCCGAGACTGCTTCTTTGTGTCACCACCTCCTTCTCAGATTTATTTCAAAGTTTCTTCTCCTCTCCCATGGTGGAGCCTACCAGTGACCACCAAAAAAGCTGTCGTGGGCTGACCCGTTACTGATCTAACATTAGCAGTATTTTCTCTAAGAAGGGTATTATTGGACCCTGATCTATACATGTAGAAAGATACATCTTTACCTCCCCCTGAATTTGTGCCACTTATTGATCCATTCCTTTTCCACATGGACTAGGTACCATGACAACCCAGATACTTGACTAACACAGTTTCTCTGATTCAATTCACAGGAGGGGCACACTTCCCTTCCTCACTATTCCAAAGCCATTGCCATTCCTAGGGAAATTCACACACACACACACACACACCCCTCTCAAGAGCTTGATATTTAAAAATGCACTTCCATCTTTAGGGTTTTTTGGGTTTTTTTTACATTTTACAATTCATCATTTAATCCCACAACAATCTTGTAGGATTATTGTTATTGCAAACTTCGAAAAAAATAACTTGCCTAAATTCCAGCAGCTGGTAATGAAAGAAGGTAAGATTAAATGCCACACGTGACCCCAAATCCTTTCTTTTTTTCACCTTACTTCATTTCCTCCATTGGGTAGCATACTTGTTCTGCTTCTAACTAAATTACAATTGTGAAGAGAAAAAGCAGGAAAAGTTAAATAACTTTTAAAGCAGCAAATAAGTGCCAGATGAGTGTTACAGACAATAAATTACCTTAGGAACTCAGAGGAAGAATAAATGTCAAAAGGAAGATTGTTCCAATACTTAACAATTACCAATAAGATGAGTCATAATTACTTTCCTAAATAAGATTTCAACTGTTTGTCATGGCTTATGTTGTCTTTTGAGTAGTTCTTCAGCAAGTATTACAGGCACAGAATGAACAGTTTATTTAACTCTTTTGGGGCTACTTTAGATGATTTGCAGGAAAGGTAATCCAAGCTGCAGCAACCCCAAAAAGAGGAACCAACGTTGTTGGGCAGCACTGGGGAGAGTCCTCCTCAATGATCTTTTCCCTGTTGCTGGTTGAGTAACGTTCACCTCCACATGATCTATGTTATATCTTAATAAAGAGCTGTGAAATTTATTGTAGCATGTTTCACGGAAGGAGACACAGTTATTAAATAAATGTAGCTCGTTAGGAATTGGATGTTTGCAGGAGATAGTATCATCCAGTGTAAAGGATGGTAGACATGGGACTCCATTTCTTTGTTCCCTCATTCAACAAACTTTAACTGTATTTGATATGTGGCACTGTCCTAGCATTTTGGCATTCAGAAATAACTGAGATCATGTGTTCTTAAAAAAAGAGAAAGAAAGGTGATATGGTTTGGTGATGTCCCCATCCAAATCTCATCTTGAATTCCCACCTGTTATGGCAGGGACCCTGTGGGAGGTAATTAAATCATGGGGACAGGTCTTTCCCATGCTGTTCTCATGATAGTGAATAAGTCTCATGAGATCTGATGGTTTTAAGAATGGGAGTTTCCCTGCACAAGCTCTCTTCTCCTGTCTGCTGCCATGTGAGACATGTCTTTCACCTTCCACCATGATGGTGAGGCCTCCCCAGCCATGTGGAACTGTAAGTTTAATAAACCTCCTTCTTTTGTAAATTGCCCAGACTCGGGTATGTCTTTATCAGCAGTGTGAAAATGGACTAATACAGTAAATTGGTACCAGTAGAGTGGGATGCTGCTGAAAAGATACCTGAAAATTTGGAGGCAACTTTGGAACTGGGTAACAGACAGGGGTTGGAACAGTTTGGAGGGCTCAGAAGGAGATAGGAAAATGTGGGAAAGTTTGGAACTTCCTAGGGACTTGTTGAATGGCTTTGCCAAAATGCTGGTAGTGATACAGACAATAAAGTCCAGGCTGAGGTACCCTCATATGGAAATGAGGAACTTGAGAACTGGAGCAAAAGTGACCCTTGTTATGTTTCAGCAAAGAGACTGGCAGCATTTTGCCCCTGCCCTAGAGATATGTGGAACTTTGAACTTAAGAGAGATGATTTAGGGTATCTGGCAGAAGAAATTTCTAAGCAGCAAAGGATTCAAGATGTGACTTGGGTGCTGTTAAAGGCATTCAGTTTTAAAAGGGAAACAGAGCGTAAAAGTTCAGAAAAATTGCAGCCTAACAATGCAATAGAAAAGAAAATCCCATTTTCTGAGGAGAAATTCAAGCTGGCTGCAGAAATTTGCATAAGTAACCAAGGAGCTGAATGTTAATCACCAAGACAATGGGGAAAATGTCTCCAGGGTATGTCAGAGACTTTTGCATCAGCCCCTCCCATCACAGGCATGGAGACCTAGGAGGAAAAATTGGTTTAATGGGCTGAGCTCAGGGTCCCTGTGCTGTGTCTAGGGACTTGGTGCCCTGTGTCCCAGCTGCTCCAGCTGTGACTAAAAGGGGTCAAGGTACAGCTTAGGCTGTGTCATCAGAGGGTGTAAGCACCAAGCCTTGGCAGCTTTCATGTGGTGTGGAGCCTGTGGGTGCACAGAAGTCAAGAATTGAGGTTTGGAAACCACTGTCTAAGTTTCAGAGGATGTACAGAAATACCTAGATATCTAGGAAGAAGATAGCTGCAGAGGCAGGGCACTCATGGAGAACCTCTGCTAGAACAGTGAAGAAGGGAAATGTGGGGTGGGGGCCCACACACAGAGTCCCCACTGGGGCACTGCCTAGTGGAGCTGTGAGAAGAGGGCCACCATCCTCCACAACACAGAATGGTAGATCCACTGACAGCTTGCACCGTGCACCTGGAAAAGCTGCAGACACTCAACACCAGCCCGCGAAAGCAGCTGGGAGGGAGGCTATACCCTGCAAAACCTGGGCAGAGCTGCCTAAGACCACGGGAACCCACCTTTTGCATCAGCAAGACCTGGATGTGAGACATGGAGTCAAAGGAGATCACTTTGGAGCTTTAAGATTTGATTGCCCCACTGGATTTTGGACTTGCAGGGGTTTGTGCCCCCCTTTGTTTTGGCCAATTTCTCCCATTTTGAATGGCTGTATTTACCTAATACCTGTATCCCCATTATATGTAGGAACTAACTAACTTGCTTTTGAGTTGTTTTTTTGTTTTTTTTTTTTTCTTTGAGATAGAGTCTTGCTCTGTCACTCAGGCTGGCATGCAGTGGCATTACCTCGGCTCACTGCAACCTCCGCCTCCTGGGTTCAAGCGATTCTCCTGTCTCAGCCTCCTGAGTATCTGAGATTACAGGCATGTGCCATCATGCCCAGCTAATTTTTGTATTTTTAGTAGAGATGAGGTTTTGCCATGTTGGCCAGGCTGGTCATGAATTCCTGACCTCCGTTGATCCACCCACCTCAGCCTCCCAAAGTGCTGGGATTACAGGTGTGATTTTACAGGCTCATAGGTGGAAGGGACTTGCCTTGTCTCAAATGAGCCTTTGGGCTATAGACTTTTGAGCTAATGTTGAAATGAGTTAAGACTTTGGGGGACTGCTGAGAGGCATGATTGATTTTTAAATGTGAAGACATGAGATTTTGGAGGGGCCAGAGGTGGAATGATATGATTTGGCTGTGTCTCCACCCAAATTCATCTTGAATTCACACACCTTGCGGGAGGGACCTGGTGGGAGGTAGTTAAATCATGGCGGAAGGTCTCTCCTAAGCTGTTCTTGTGGTAGTGAATAAGCCTCACGGATCTGATGATTTTTAAAAATAGGAGTTTCCCTGCACAAGCTCTTCCCTTGTCTGCTGCCACGTGAGAAATGCCTTTCCCCTTTTGCCACGATTGTGAGGCCTCCCCAGCCATGTGGAACTTTAAGTCCAATAAACGTCTTTCTTTTGTAAATTGCCCAGTCTCGGGTATATCTTTATCAGCAGTGTGAAAATGGACTAATAAAAAAGGGGAGAGGAAACAGGAAAAAAAGAAAGAATGGAGAGAGGAAAGGAGAGAGAAAGGAAGGGAAGAATGAAGGAAAATATTTTATTTGAAACAAATATGAATGGTTAATTATATTATAGTTGGGGAGAATTTATTCAACAAACAATTATAAAAATTAGAGCTGATGGTACTATATGGAAAAAATTAGAGATAAGATTTCTGTCCTAATGGAGCTTATAGTCTAGTAGAAGTGGGAAGGAGTTAAAAAGTCTCCATGGGTAGTATGGTTGCTGTCCTGGTTGTCTCACATGATCTGTTATCTTAGGCAGGTCATATAATTGTCTAGGCTTCAGTTTCTTTTTTGTTTGTTTGTTTTCTTTTTTTTTATTTATACTTTAAGTTCTAGGGTACATGTGCACAACGTGCAGGTTTGTTACATATGTATACATGTGCCATGTTGGTGTGCTGCACCCATTAACTCATCATTTACATTAGGTATATCTCTTAATGCTATCCCTACCCCTTCCCTCCACCCCACAACAGGCCCCGGTGTGTGATGTTCCCCTTCCTGTGTCCAAGTGTTCTCATTGTTCAGTTCCCACCTATGAGTGAGAACATGCGGTGTTTGGTTATTTGTCCTTGCGATAGTTTGCTGAGAATGATGGTTCCCAGCTTCATCCATGTCCCTACAAAGGACATGAACTCATCATTTTTTATGGCTGCATAATATTCCATGGTGTATATGTGCCACATTTTCTTAATCCAGTCTATCATTGATGGACATCTGGGTTGGTTCCAAGTCTTTACTATTGTGAATAGTGCCACAATAAACATACGTGCGCATGTGTCTTTATAGCAGCATGATTTATAATCCTTTGGGTGTACACCCAGTAATGGGATGACTGGGTCAAATGGTATTTCTAGTTCCAGATCCTTGAGGAATTGCCACACTGTCTTCCACAATGGTTGAACTAGTTTATAGTCCCACCAACAGTGTAAGTGTTCCTATTTCTCCACATCCTCTCCAGCACCTGTTGTTTCCTGACTTTTTAATGATCGCCATTCTAACTGGTGTGAGATGGTATCTCATTTTGGTTTTGATTTGCATTTCTCTGATGGCCAGTGATGGTGAGCATTTTTTCATGTGTCTGTTGGCTGCATAAATGTCTTCTTTTGAGAAGTGTCTGTTCATATCCTTTGCCCACTTTTTATGGGGTTGTTTGTTTTTTTCTAGTAAATTTGTTTGAGTTCTTTGTAGATTCTGGATATTAGTCCTTTGTCAGATGAGTAGATTGCAAAAATTTTCTCCCATTCTGTAGGTTGCCTGTACACTCTCATGGTAGTTTCTTTTGCTGTGCAGAAGCCCTTTAGTTTAATTAGATCCCATTTGTCAATTTTGGCTTTTGTTGCCATTGCTTTTAGTGTTTTAGACATGATAACGTAAGATAAAGTAGCTTTTTCTGCCTTTCCTAACTTGCCAGGTTGCAGAAAATAGTAAAAGAAATAGTATTTCTTAAATAATTCTCTCTTTTGGATTGTGAATCATTTTACACATGCAAATGGAATTCTTTCCACTTGGCTTTCTTTTACCCAATGAAATTTAGTATTGAACGAGAAAAGTGTATGCTAGCAACAGTGAATTTGGCACTGTAAACTCACTGTCAACACTAAGAAAATCAAAGGGAACAAACACGAAAAGCAAGCTTTTCTAACATTTGGTTGATGGCAGTTTGTCTTGAAAGCCTTTTCTATAACATATCATAGCAAATAATACCCATCATGACATCCATATAATAAACCATCTGCCCACTTGCCTATATATGACTACAGGAAAGTTTTCCCTTGACCCACCTAAAAATATGCCCCATTCATCTTGAAATTTGGTAGCTGTGCCAAAGCACAAAGAAAGGATGATTAAATGGCACATTTCTATGATTAGACACACAAACTTCCTGGAAGATTTACCACCTACAACACTGAAGACCTATGATCTTCAGATAAAACCCAATCTCCTGCAGAAGAAATAATAGTAGTTTTGAGATTAAAAAGAAATCTGCGTATCACACAAGTTCTCATAAGACCCCCTAAACTTTACCGGTGAAGGCTCTTCTCTTTCCCCTGGACAACGTATGTTCTGGAAACATTTCTGAGAAGACATGTAGATACTACCATTGTGACATGTTTAACCAGTCCCAGTGTCCCTTTCCATAACCTCAGCTGAAGACAATCATCTCAGCTACTCCTATAAAAATTGGAAATACCCAGCAACTTAGTTAATATATTTGAGTTAAAATCATTTCTACTTGTTCAACAATTTTTCTCTATCTAATTACTAAGTGTACAGGGAACTCAACTCACCGTTCTGCCACTTGAGTGCCATTGGGCAAGTTACTTCATCATCTCTTTGAGCCTAGTGATATCACCTATATAATATGTTTTACAGTTTAATTCCCATTTTTATAACTGATCCTTCCTTCTCAATCCTTGTCTCAACTTTTCACCCTCACCCATTGGTTTATTTTGAAGTAGAGGCAGCAATACATGACTTGTCAGGGGAGGCAGGGGTAAGTATAAGGCTGGGTGGAAGACATATTCTTTAAAAAGAGTCTTGGGGAAGGACAGGAGCCCACAAAACAGCCTGGGAGTCAATTACCCTCTGTTGTCAAGACAGAGATGAAAATTAATAATGCCCATTGAGGTGGAAGACAGTACTAGCAATTAAAGGCCAGGAAAAGCAAGAGTCAGGAATGCAGATATGTAAGTAGCTTGATGTAGGAGACTAGCAAGTAGAAAAATCCTGACTGATCTTAATACTAAGACATTGACTTCTTGCCCCTGATTTTCCATACTTCTTGCATCATGTGGGGATAATATGAAAAACAGGAAGTCAGGGTCAAGAGAATACAGATAAGCAGAAAAGCAGCTGAAGCAAGGAAAAGTAGAAACCTGTTTTGCAATGGTTAGTGTTCAATCACTCTAAATTTTTTTGTTTTGATAATGTGATGGGGGCTATTGTTAGATGAGAAATAGCCTTCAAAGAGATAGCTATATGTAGCCTTTACCACTCATTCAACAATTAAATATTGAATGACTACTATGTTTTTGAAATTGGAATAGTATCTGTTCCAAAATACACAACAGACTGTCTTGCTCACTAAGACTCTTAGAATCTAGTCAGGGAGATATTACTTTTATTCAAAAAACTTCAAATTCAAAGTGTGTAGAAGAGGAACCAAAATGCTGTATGAACTCAGAGGGGACAGAACCAACTGAGATAATGAAGAGATGTCTCATGGAGACAGAACTTCAGTTGGAACTCACAGGATGAGTAATAGTTCAATAGATAAAAATGAAGGAGATGAATTTAGAAAGAATGTGCAAAAATCAAAAAGCCAACAACTTCAGAAGCAGTTCTTGGCAGGAGTACTGAATAAGCAAAACTCCTTAAAGGAAGAAATGAGAGGTGAATCTGTAAACAAAGGTACCTAATAAACTCAGTTAAAATAAAAGGGCTAATTCTGATTAAGAAAATGAAGAGGTTAGCACAGGTCTAAATAAGAATTGGTGCAGATCAGTTTCTTAGTTCCACTATAATTGGAGCATCTCTGTAGTTTATTAAACATAAACTATAAAATGGACACTGCATCAGATATTTAGAGAAACTATTTTTTGATACAGAGGAATCTCATTGCTTGAACTATAGTTTCACATACAAACACAATTTCCCCCAGTCCTCCAGTTATAATAATGCTAAAATGTTTCCAAGACTATATTAGAAATATATCTATCATAATACACAGGTGCTGATGATCTGACTTGGCAACACTTGGGCTGAGAACTGGTTTATCCTTCTTGGTGTTGACATACAGAAATTCTAAATAACTTGAACATTTGGCATTAAGTTCTTTGTTCTCCAATTTTCATGTTGCAGCAAATTAGAAACTGTCATATAAACTGGTTTGGAAAAGGATTTATGTAAACATTGAGTTAAAAAAAAGGGAGGTGGGTACGGCATTAAAACTGGATGGTTTTGTGGGAAAGCTTGTAGAAGACAAAGGTAACTGAGGTCAAATATATCTTGGCTTCCTGCACTGAATAAGTACAAACATGTGAAAAGGGGCTGACAAAGCCAGAGTAGTCTGCTCTGCTATATTTGCACGAAATTAGAAAGAAGAGAGCTAAAATCAAATAACTTATTTGATAATGAATGTGTTGTGATAAGAGGCTTTAATGGATTCTCCGGGATAAACCTTGAAAGTCTCTCCAATAAAGATAAATATAGTAAAAATGACCCTATTTAAGATGATTTGGGATTTTCTCTCCACATCTTAAGCACTGAAATACTCTCATTTTCTAAGAAAATGATGAGAATCAGAGGAATACATCAATATTATAAAGTCGTAATCATTCCTACCATTTTATAATGGTCAAAACAAAATCACACTTCATGAATAAAATAAATGTAGTAAAACCATTCATAGAAGTAGCAGTCAAAAGAAAGTTAACACTCAAGTTTTCCCTAATGTAGGTTATTTTAGCAGTAACAAAACCTAATTTCTAAGTCCTTTGGGTTTTACTAATTTATATTTTTTTGAAAACTAATCTATGATACCTATGCTTGCTATGGCAACATCAATACTGTATAAAATTCTGAATTATATATCATTTTTAAAAATTACAATAGAAGAATAATTTATTGAGTTATTATTTGTATTTAATTCTGCCTGTAATTTTCTTTCTAACCTGTTTTAAAAAGTTATCCAGGTTTAAAATCTAAAGTTGTCTAAGGAACAGTTACCATTGTTTGTTTCTGAAAATCTAGATTTATTAAGGAAATTATGCCAGATTATACCAGAGAAGGAGGAAAGCGGAAAGCCCCTGAGGTAAGTAGATGTATTAGACATTAGTCCCCAGATTAAAAACAGGAGGAGGTTGTTTGGGGGGCTTGGAAGTTTCACTACCAAAGTTCTCTGCGTTCTCAGCGATGAGAATTGGCAATGACCCCAAAGGGATGCTTGTCTGAAATCCTTGTTCTCAGCAAAGGCTCCCTTCAGGAGACTCTGTGGATTTAGATAATAGGATCACCAAATCTATGATGACAGGAAATACCTCACTCCACATTAAACACTCTTGACCTTTCCAAGACCTGGGGAGGGGAGGAGTGGAGGGAGGAGAATCCCAGTAAAAAGTGAGACTGAATTTCCCATCAACCCAATGGAATGAGAGCTTAGCGTCAGATTCATTTGTATTTATAAAAGGTATTGTGACATTTCTTGCACACTTACTTTTTCAGTACAATTTATGCTTGCAACTGAGTAAATGCATTATGTGGCAAACATGAGCCATCTTGTTTCTTTCTTTTCTTTGTTTTTTTTTTTTTTTTTTTGAGACATAGTCTCAGTCTGTCACCCAGACTGGAGTGCAGTGGCATGATCTCGGCTCACTGCAACCTCTGCTTCCTGGGTTCAAGCAATTCCCATGCTTTAGCTTCCTGAGTAGCTGGGATTACAGGCGCACGCCACCACCACGCCCAGCTAATTTTTTGTATTTTTAGTAGAGACGGGGTTTCACCATGTTGCCCAGGCTGGTCTCGAACTCCTGAGCTCAGGCAATCCACCCGCCTCAGCCTCCCAAAGTGCTAGGATTAAAGCCGTGAGCCACTGCACCTGGCCAAGCCATCTTATTTCTAATTGAATACAACAATTCATATCTAGAGTTGTAGCATTTTGAAGCTAAAGAGTATCTTGGCTTATATGTCTTGTTTAACAATTGGGAAACAAAAAGTTAAGATAAAAAATTCCCCTTTTTCCTCAAAAAATAATAACTTTTACTTTGCAATTATTTTTAATAGAATGTATTCAGTTATATTTTTGTGCTTTTGCCATGCATCTTTATTTGCTACAGAATGCAAGAAACTTCAAATTGTCATCTTTAGCCTTTCCCATATGCCCGGGAAAACTTCCCATTTTGACTTCCAATAAAGTGACATTCATTATTTGAAAATGCTTATGGTAGATAATGTATTATTTAAATTATCATGAATTTCTGCCAAGAAAATACTCTCCAGAAAGTGCTGGTTGCAGCCAATTGAAATTTAGAGGTCAACTTTGCATACTGAGACTATTTTGTTTTAAGATCACCATTATTCTCAACTTTTTATTAGTTCCCTAGAGGATACCGCTTTCATTGTTCCTTTTTCTTTGGCAATAAATAAGTACTCTGGGGGCACTTATTTATGGTATTCAAGTTGACAAATGTGTTAATAGAAGAAAAGATCCACTGCTGGTTTTTAGGAGATAAAAATTTAGTCACTAACTTGCAATGAACTCTTAGGCAATTTGTAATTTATTGAACCTCAGTTTTCGTAACTGTACCAAAAGTAAATATATGTTTGCTAACATTCCTTTCAGATTTTATACTCAAGTTCTCTGACTAAACAGTAATCAAACAAACCAATCCACCAACAGAAGGTGAGGATAAAGCTGAGTCTGTTGATCTTATGACATTAGAATATGATTCTTCTCTAATATCTATGTGATCCTCTAAAGAATCTGAGGACCTCAGCATTATTCTTATTTTCTTAATAACTTTCTTAGAAAAATAACTTTATTTTTCTGACACATTTATTGGATTTATTGGAAGTATTAAAGTGTAAAAATGTGGCAGAAAAAAATCCAAAAGTTAGAAATAAGACAGAATGATAAGGATGATGATTGTTAATATTATGACAGAGCACTTTCTGATAGTTCCATCGTATTAATTCTTTTTACTCTCCTGAGGAAATGTAACTTTGTATGACATACTATCCATAAATGATTCAGGCCTAAGCGTTTTAACAGCCCTGTAAAGTTAGAGGTTAACTTATAGAAAACTGATAAGCAGTGATTTTTCTACCTTGCCTGGTAGAGATAGTTTACCTAGCATTGTCCTATAGGACATCAGCCTTATATCATTCTTTCTTTCCTTATTGACTATATAAATCCCAGTTCTTCATAGATTCCTCAAAGACAATCCTTGTCATTCTGCTTGTTACCTCACTGATGAGTTAAATAAAACTGCAACCCATGTTTGTTATCTATTTCTATGAGGCTATGTTTTAACAGTTTAAAAACTGATCTTTTAGAAGCAGCATACACCTTTCTTTAAGGAAGCACTAGCAAAGCCCACTCTATAGACCAGTTCTCTACATTGACTTTTTTTTTTTTTTTTTTTTTTTTTTGGAGACAGAGTTTCACTCTTTTCACCCAGGCTGGAGTGCAGTGGCGCGATCTCACCTGACTGCAACCTCCACCTCCCGGTTTCAAGCGATTCTCCTGCCTCAGCCTCCCAAGTAGCTGGGATTACAGGCACCTGCCACCATGCCCAGCTAATTTTTTATTTTTAGTAGAGACAGGGTTTCACCATGTAGTCCAGGCTGGTACTGAACTCCTGACCTCAGGTGATCCACCTGCCTCAGGCCTCCCAAAGTGCTGGAATTACAGGCGTGAGCCACTGTGCCCAGCCCGGTTCTCTACATTTCTAAAGCTCCACCTTGTTAAAATAAATTCCATGGATGGCATTGATCGCATCTCCATGAAATCTATAACTAAGGAATCTGTTTCCTCACTGCATTTACTTCTCTAATATAGAGCCTACCTATATATAAAAATCTTTTGCTTTTCATCAAAATTGATTGTTACTCTCCCCTTAGCTTAAACTGAAGCCAAGAACAGATCTTGAGAATTCACCCATTATACTCTTTTTATTTTTTATTTAATAGAAAACAGCTTGTCTCCTTAACAGTGAAGAATAAAGTGACAGAAATTAAATGAGTTTCTAAATTTAAAGCAGACATTTTGTTGCTAAAGCAACCAGAATCTACAATTATATAAGGCGGATAATCTCCTATGATGAAAACACAACCAAATATATGCTAGCGATGTACTGATCTTGGAAATTATAATTATTGAAAGAAATGAATAAGTGACATTTTACAATTTACTGGAGAGTACAGTACCATTTAAAGTGATAATCTGTTCTTATTATCCTTATCTTAAGAAAACTGAAAATATTTTTTAAAACATGCCTTTAGACATAGAGGAGATTAATATAAAAACCCAGGGGCCCCAGAAGGAAATCACGATTGCTTTTCTAAGATCAACCACAGTTATCATATGGCAAAAGTTGCTATGGTAACTCCCAGATTTACTGTCAATAAAATTGACCCTGGTCTTCATTTTATTCTAAATATCTGATACATGAAACACAGTGACCATGATCAAATTGCTGAGAGTATGTTCATTAATGCACAAATATAACACCAAAATCGTAAAACTAATGACTAGCCATGTTATTCTCAACTGAGATTGACCTAATATTTATTAAAACTTGTTTGTGTTAACAAAATTAGCCAGGCATGGTGGCGGGCACCTGTAGTCCCAGCTACTCGGAAGGCTGAAGCAGGAAAATGGCATGAACCTGGGAGGTGGAGCTTGCAGTGAGCCGAGATCGCGCCACTGCACTCCAGCCTGGGCGACAGAGGGAGACTCCATCTCAAAAACAAACAAACAAACAAAAAAACAACTTGTTTGTGTTACATGGTGTGTGATGTGTGGTTTGTTTTTATTATCGGTTTTTTGTTCTATTTTGTTTTAGTTGCTTTTTCTTCAATATATTTAATTCTTTTTTTAAATAAAACCTCTCATTTTCTTTTTTATCTAAAGTTCAACGAACAAACTAAAGTTTGTAGGTTAGGCAAAACTAGGCTAAGGGTTATACATTCTATTCTTCAACAGTCCTGCCAAACTGAAAGGGGCTTGGAGTAGTATACTATTCACATTACCTTGAAATATTTTTTTTTCTCTGAAATTTCCCTATTAGAACATTTGTTGAAATGGGTGACTTGGCATTAAAACAATTTAGAAGCTGTTCAAAATAAAAAAAAAAAAACAAGATTAAATTCAAATATCACGTTTGTTCTTACTGTCAGTTGCACAATATTATACATATTTTTAATGTAAAAGTTGATGCCTGATACTGTGGAAGGTATTTTGTTTTATTCTGTTTACTTCCAAAGGATTTACTGTCTATGTCAAAATCACTCATTTGCCACTACATAGTAAAAAGGTTCTTAGGCCTATTTCTTGTAAATATTCTGAGGTTTCTGCTTGGGAAGTGAAACATACTAAGTACATGTAAGAAAGAATTTTAACAATGCAAATCTCTTCTTTCTTCTCTTCCTCTTCCTTCCCCTCATGAACAATTGAAGGCCAAAATCCAATAGATCCAAGCAAAGTAACCAGGCAAGAAAGAGGGATGCAGCTACAGTGCCTGGAGCAGGGTTTAGAGCTGAGGTGTGTGAGCAGGCAAACTACCTGGCTGGTGACTTAGAGAGGAGTGTGAGAGCCCAGAAAGCACAAGGAAGATTTTTATGTAGGAAAGTGGTCCAGCACTGGTTCGAGGATGGTATGCGTACAGGCAACTTGAGGTATCAGAACCACTACAGGATGAGGAAGGCATTCAATTAAGGTAGAAAGAGGGAATTGATAGTGGGTGTCACAGTGCAAGATGGTTAGATAGTCTCCAAAACAGATATCCCAGAATGGGTAGTCAGAGCTGGGTGGGGAGGGGTTCTGCCCCCATGAGGGAGTGGTGGTAGAAATGGAAGACGGATTACATACAATGTTGATTAAATAAGTCACTATATTAAACATGGTGGCAATAAGTTTCTCACTGTTAGAAAAGAACATTAAAAATATAGAAAGGGAAATCCAAAATGAACCCTGTGATGCTGAATTTCATCAGATATATTAGTGGAAACTGATGTTTTTGGTATGCAGTAACAGACACAGAAATAAATATAGACGTGAATCAGTCTGTGTATATATTGTAGGAGAAAAGAAATTGTTTTTTCAATCACTAAGTTCATGGCTGTGGCCTCTATAAAAAAAAACAGATGAACAATAGAAAATCTTAAATGTATTTCATATAAATTTTACGTGATATGTAAGTCTTCAGAAATGAGGACCCAAAGAAACAGGAAAATCTGTGTATTTTTATGTTTAGGTTTGGTCTGATTGTAATAAACTGGGGGAAGTTTAGCAAGGCCTGTTTGTCCAGATTCTTTTCTGTGTCTTCAGAGATAAGGATGTTCTGTTCCTCCAGGTATGTGCAGGGTGCCTCTCAAATGGGGTGGGCTTATGACTTGCTTCAAGGGAGGAGGGTGAGGGGAACGCAAGAGTTTTCTTCCTGCTTCTGCTATTTTCTCAAATGCCAAGATGCAATAGTTTTAAGATAGTGTCCTCTGAACCCAATCCGTGTGTGTGTGTGTGTGTGTGTGTGTGTGTGTGTGTATCCATAATAAATGTGTGTATTTGTGGAAGACCAGAATGTGACACCCTAAAATATGCCTATTTGTCATAAGGATTATTTTTGGCTGATTATTTTGAGAAACTACAGACATAAAGGAAGCTCTAAAAATAGAGTAGAAGTTACTCTTCTGTAAGTGAAATTTATATCTATAAAGGAAATCTCCACTTCTAAGGATGTCTCTCTGTAGCAGGAAGAGAAGGATGACTCTAAAATACTAGATATTCAAATAGATGAAGATAGCACTGATTAAATCTGCGTAATAAACTGTGCTCTTTTTTGGTCAAATCTCCATTGCTGGGCTTCCCCGCAGCCTTCTTTCTTTGTTTCAGTGGACAAAGGTATTTAAGCTTGAATTCAATGCCACCTCCTGGAGATTTACTCATTTCTCTGGGTATCTCCCATGTATACATGAGGTATACATGTTATTAAATTTCTGTTTGTTTTTCTCCTGATAATGTGTTTTTTGGTATAGAGATCTATCCCAATTAAGAATCTTGTAAGGTAGACAGAAATTTTTTTTCTCTCCTACAAGCATAGGTATGTGTGTATATGTGTGTTTCTTTAACTAACTCTTTGAGCAGTGACACCCAAAAGTGATTAAAGTATTGGTTTTTAAATGCCATTTTCTACTAAAAGAAATCAGGGCTCCTCAAAAGAAAAAAAAAGTTGATCCCAAGGCTCTGGTATAGGAGGTGCAAAGGAAGTACTGCTCTGCCAGGAAGCATGAAAGTGCTTCAAGATTAATGGGGAGACATCAACAGAACAACCACAACAACAAAAAGCCAACTTGAAGGAACTCCCACTGGCCAAAATGGCTCAATGTGAGCTGCAAAATAAATGATAATAACAGATTATAAACCACTGGATAACATAGGAAATCATTCATTCATGCTGAAACATATAAGTAAATTGATAGCTTAATCAGAAACAGGATATTTATATTGCTTTAAGTTACCTCCCCATAAAATTTATCAGAACAAAAGTGAAAAAGTATAATTTTACAGAGGAGAAGCCTGGCAGACACCGCTGTAATCAAATGATCAGAGTGAACATCATCAGCAATGGGACAAATTGAAATTGCACACACCTGATAGGATTCAATGAGAACACAGTATTACATCTATTATATTCCTGCAAAAATGCATTTCCTGCCTCTAATTATAAGGAAAATTCAGAAAACTGAAATTGAAGGATATTCTACAAACTAGCTGCATATACATTTCAAAAGTATCAAGGTCATGAATATCAAAGAAAGTCTGAGGAACTGTTCCAGAAAGAGAAGGAGGCAACTAAATGCAAATGATTCTGTACTGCATCATTTTATTATCAAAGATATAGTTGGGACAATGAGTGAAACTTGAACAGGGTCTGAGAACTAGGTTGCATTATGTATCAATACTATTATTCTGATTTTGATGGTTTTATTGCAATATGTAGAAGAATTGTACATTGTAGGAAATATTCATTAACACATTTGTGAAGGACAACATATCATCCACTTAGTCTCAAATAATTCAGGAGAAAAAGGTTTTTTGTACTGGACTTATTGCAACTTTTCTGAAAGTTTGAGTGTTTTTCAAAACATAAACATTGTAGTTGGAGAAATTTCGAAATAAAAAGAGCAATTATTTTTACCCTTCTTCCTTTAGTCCTCTCCCCACCCTATCCCCCAGTCAAAATTATAGTACTACAAAAGTGTTAAATCATTACTTCATGATAGGAAACGTGGTTTCGTGAAATTTAAGACTTTGGGTCAATTTCCCTTACCTTTTTTTATTTTTTGATGTTATAAACCATAATGTTATTTTAACATTATCTTTGCAGCTCTTTGAAAAAGTTTAAGAAAACCAGAAACTATTGACACAAAATGTAGTACTGAGCTTGTTGATAGAAATATTTAACAATGGAATGCTATATTTTTTATTGACATTACAAATAGAAATTTATTATAATTACCTTTGGCAAATATTTTGGCAAACCTACCTGAAAGAAAAAATAATATGCTAGGACCTAAATGTTTTGAGAACAGTCACTAATTTCTACAAATTTAAGATACCTGCGTGGAAAAGGCCTGGCATATATGTGTGAGGACAAGTTAATAGTAATAAACTAGATTTTTTAAGAATCAAATAATTATAATTACAAGCAATTCAAAAATTGTACCAAGACTAATTTCTTAAAGCCAATTTAATACAAGGTTAAGACAATTTATCAATCAGCTTTTGTTGTATTAGTTCTCATTAGAAAAAAATGGCTTTTTATACCATGTATTTGATATGCTGATTTTGTGTCAATATAGCTGTTTTTAACATTCAGTAATTTAAAACTAATCTTTTAAAATACAATATTTAACAAAATTAAGAATTTCTTTTTTGTTCAATTCATTATGTATTTTTATAGTTTTAATTTAAAGGAAAATTCTAAATCATATCTCAAATTTTATTATTAGAAATGTAGATTTTTTAATGTTTAAAATGTCACAACTATTGAGCTCAATTTCATTACCCAAAACAATTACAATGTGAAAATGTCACATTATACTGAGGTGAGTCAATTCAGTTCAATATGTAGAATGAAAACATATGCTCTGTCCACTATCTTTCTTTCTAAGAAGAGAATGTTGATGTGGCAAAATACATTCATATGCAAATTAATGTGTAAGTAAATATTGTCAGTAAATATTCCATTCAAATGGAAATTAATGTATAAGTAAATAAAAAGAGAGTGAGCAATGAGCACTGTGTTAATTTGTAGGTATTTTCTCAAACATAACTACATGATGCCAGCAAGCTTGAACAACTTTGTTATTATTTCACATTGATAGTAACAAAATCCAGATTTGTTTTAAACCCCTAAATGTTAGTTTTACACATCAGTCTTTCTCTCTCTCTCTCCCCACCGCCACCTCTTTGTGTGTGTGTGTGTGTGTGTGTGTGTGTGTGTGTGTGTGTGTGTGTGTGAACTAGGGGCACAGTGAAGGGTAATTCTTCAAACAAGTAGAATATTCCAGAAATTATTTTTTGTGAATATGCTCAAACTTCATTTTCTCCCAAATGTAATCTGATACTTGATAGTTCATTTACATATTCTGTATCTTAAGGAAAATGACTGTTAGATGTGAAGAAGAAAGCATCTGGACAAGAACTTGAGAGTAAAGAAGAAATTGCCGAAAACAAAAGAGTTTGTAAATTCAGTAAAACTCTACACAAAAGCAGTTGCCTTCTCAGTGAGTTGAGGTTAACACAAACATGAAAGAATTGTCTCTTGTCAACTTTATTTGGAGAACCCAGCCATCCATGTGTGATTTAATACTTTTAAAAGTCCAGATGATGCAGGAGATACGTGGAGACATGGGCCAGAGCATTCAGTTAGCTTTCAAATTTATTTCCTCACACATGGACAACCATTCAGTTCAAATGAAAGCATAGAAGCACAACACATCTACAGATGTGTCCAATAAATGTTTGCTTTGGTTTCAGAGGTTTTTTTTTTCTTGTTTCTCAACTGATTTAAAACTGGCATGCTTTAAAAGAAGTACTCAGTTGTCTTAAATTTATAGCAGCAGATCAGATATTATATCATCCAACATTAGATACACATAGGACAGTACCACACCTGAATCAAAATTCTTAAATGGCAGACGCACTAGGAAATGGTAAAATAAACTACATGTAAAGGTATTCTTGAAGAGAGCTCTCCAAATAAAAAGGATGGGAATAAAATAAACTGTGTTGAAAGATGTTTTTCTAAATGCATCTAATGATAAAAGTGAGCCTTTTACCATTAAAAAGCTGTTGAATGTCTATTATCAAAAAAGACAAGAAATAACAAATGCTGGTGAGGATAAAGGAAAGGGAACATTTATACTTTATTGGCTGGGAATGTAAATTAGTACAGCCATTATTGAAAAAAGTATGAAGGTTTCTAAAAAAACTAAAAATAGAACTACCGTATGATCAAGCAGTCCCATTACTGGGTATTTATCCAAAAAAAAGGAAATCTGTAAATCGAAGGGATACCTGCACTCCCATGTTTATTGCAGCATTATTCACAGTGGCCAACCTATGGAATTGACCTAAATGTCTATCAACAGACTAAAAAGTAAAGAAAATGTGGCAAATATACACAATGAAATACCATTCAGCTACGAAAAAGAATAAAATCCTGTCACTTGTGGAAAGATAGATGAGCTTGGAGGTTATTATCATAAGTGAAATAAGTCAGGCATAGAAGATAGAAGTCAGGCATAACACATACTCATATGTAAGAGCTAAAAAATTTTTGAGTTCGCGGAAGTAGAGAGTAGAATTGTGGATATTTGAGGCTGAACAGGGAATGAGGGAGGAGAAGACAGAGAGAGGTTGGCTAACAGACACAAAATTACAGCCAGATAGGAGGAACGAGTTCTGGTGTTTTGCAGCACTGTAGGATGAATATGGTTAACTATAATTTATTGTATATTTTCAAAAAGCTAGATGAAAAGATATTGATATTCACAACACAAAAAAAGATAAATATTTTAGGTGATGGATATGCTAATTACCTTGATTTGATCATTACACATTATGCACGTATACTAAAATTTTACTCTGTATCCCATAAATATATACAGTTATGCATCAACTAAAAATAAAATGAAATAAACAAATACAGACCAGTATAAAGAAACAACTCAAAACAATATTTTCAAATGTGAGAAGAATATAGATAAAGGCAAGTACCATTTTATTTATAAAGTAAGGTCTCAGAACTAGGGGAGCTGACAGTGTAATTCTCATCCCAAATCTGAAGGGATGTAAAAGGAAGGCAGGCGGGGCAGGCAGGGTACAAGTCCTGGAGTTCAAAGGACTGAGAATCTGGAGTCCTGACACAAAAGAGCAGGAGAAGAAGGTTTTCCCAGGGCCAGAAGAAAGAGAGCTCACCTTTCCTCTGTTTTTTTTTTGTTGTTGTTCTACTCCTCAATCTGATCCCTGAGTCAATTGAATGGTGCCTCTCATATTGGATGAGGGTGAATCTTTAGTAAGTCCACTGATTCAAATGACAATCTCTTCTGGAAACACCCTCACAGACACACTCAGAAACAACGTTTTAACAGAAATTACAGGTGCATGACACCACACGTGGCGAATTTTTAAATTTTCTTTTTTATAGAGATAAACTCCCACTATGTTGCCCAGGCTGGTCTCAAACACATAGACTCAAGCAATTCTCCTGCCTCGGCCTCCCAAAGTGCTCAGATTACAGGCATGAGCCACCACACCCAGCCCCAGATTATTCATAGAATATTTATATAATTTCATTAAGCTTGTATATCAAATCATACACAGAATATAATTTTTGAGAGGATTTTTATATGATCAGTAAAGTTGAAAATACCCAGATTTACCCTTTAGTTCTCTCCATTTTAATTTCATTATAAAAATTGTGCTTATAGAAGGTACAATTACTTTACTTTCGCTCACTGAGGTCTTTATATTGAACCTGCATATATTATGTTTTAATATTTTTACTCCTAACACTTAAGAGTACCGTATAATTTTGAATTAAATTAATAAATATCCTTCTTTCAGGTAGAGAGAATTTCACCTATAAGAGCATGGATAAATAACAAAACATGGTCACTGGGTTTTGGCACTAATCACTCTGTTTTAAAAACACTAGCTTCTTGGCTTAACACATTGTATTACAGCTTATTTTGTGTCTGTTTCTGCTACTGTTCTCTTAATCCCTGGCAAGCAGAAAGTATATTTTCAAAAAAAAAAAAAGTGTTCTCAATGCTTTCCTTAATAGTTACTGAAATACTTCAGTAAAACAGAAAAAAAAGTGATAATAAATAAATATTTTACTAGATATGACTTGTAGTGAGCATGATATAGAAAAAATATTAATTTACCATCTCTACTTGCCTTTAAGAATATGATCATCTCTCATGCAGAGCATTATTCTAATGCTTAAATATATGTAGTTTTTGTACAACATGGTCCCTAAATGTAAGCTATGTAAGATGTTAAAATTCCAAATTTCAAAATATCTTTCTATTCTACCAAAAGGATAATGCTAGAGTGACCTTGAAGCTACAAAATGGTGAGATGGTGGGACCATGGGATGACCTGGGTTCCTCGGAATAGATATGCCACGAACCCAACATTGGACTCCAACCAGAGAAAAAAATAACCTTTAATTGAACTAAGCCACCAAGATTTTGAGACCATCTTTATAGCCTATTTTCACAAAAGTGTAGATAGCCAAGTCTAAGGAAGACATGAACCATCTAAATAATCTGGATATCCCAGGAAGAAATAACCAAATGTTTCAATATTGAAGAAAACTAGATTCAATAGCATACCCCTTCCCATGGGATTTTTAAATGACAGTTTTTACCATGTTTACTTTTTCCTTACTAAATAAATGTAGAACTTAATACCTATGTAAGATATGACTCCACTGTTCTAAAAGCAAGAAGATAGAGGTTTTCACCCCTGCTCTGCAATATGTCGTTTCCATTCTTCTGGACTTCTGCTTTCTCATCCCCAAAATGCAGAGATTGTGTGAGATAATCTTTAATGTTCATTCCAGGTCAATAATACTAACCTGATCAATCTAAAATATATTATGATGATCTGCATCTTGTGTGGGTAATAAGATTTACAAAAGCTGAATAAACCAAGACGTATGCAGAAATTTATTAAGGAAGACAGTACAAGTTACATACATATTTTAAAATAATTTTATGAGGCACTTAATACAAAATATGGGTGTCTTCAAAGATTTTTAAAAGCTTATACTATCTGTCAATTTTGAATATAAACCTGCTATGCAAAATGTATATAAGCTTTCTTCAAAAACAGGCTAATTGAGCATCAAATTCATTATACCCCTTTAATACATTATTTAATATAGAATAAACCATAGAAATCATAGAAAATATATTTTGCAGCCAGGAAAAGAAAGTAATATCATGTAGTTAAGGGACTAGACTATGGATTCTTGACTGAGTTTTACTCTCTAAGCTCTATTCTAACCAGTGGTGTGACTTGGCACAAGATACTTTATCTCACTATGCCTTACTGTCCACAACTGTAAACTGGAAAGGTTAATAATAATTACTTCATAGATGGCCATTGTGCACATTAAATGAGTTAATATATGTAAAGTAGTTGAAACAATGCCTGCATATAGTTACTACAATATAAGCTTGCTCTTATTATGCACTGAATTTATATTAAAAGTAAACTCCTTCCCTAACTAATTCAAATAGCTTTGATATACAACACAGTTATAAAAGTAGAAAGATTTAAATACATTTGAAAATGTTATTTTCCAGTACTACCAAAAACTTCAAATTATGTATCATGAAATACTAGCTTTATTCTTTTCAACTGACCCTTTGTAAATCTCTCTGAGTATGCTAATAACATTAGGCCAATTCAAATTAAGATTCCTTCATTAAAAATGTTCTACTTTGGCATAAAGCAAAAGGCTTATTAATATGAATATTTCTGAGAAGAGAAAAAAGGCAGCAACTTGAACTTACAGTTCAACACAATGCAGCAGCACCCTCAGAGAAGGACCAAGATATTTGTATAGGCCAAAATCAGCTTTATGTTATCAAATTATTGATTTGAGCCAATGTTATGTCAAGGATCAAGTACACACATAACTGCAAGTCAAGGTCTTTGTTTATATGAGATCAAAACAATGTGTACAAGTAAACATAAAAATACTAAGGAATTGGGATTTGAAAGAAAATTGCACAAATTATGTTAGGAAGTAGTTAAGACTCAGAAAACATACACACAAACATTTTTAGCATACCAGACTCAAGGTCACCAGCATTATCTAACTTCAAAAATGTCCTGTTGATAATTTTTCTTTGTATGGCTAACTAGATAGCCTAAAAATTCCCTATACCAAAAAACTGGAAATACTGGTTAAAATATAACGAAAATGAAAGTAAAGCTCAAAAGGAGGAAGGAAAAATACTCAGAGCTTCAACATCAAGTGAAAGCTGAAATTGGCACTTAAACATTTTGGGGTATCCAAAGAGTAGTGAAAAGGTTTTAACTTTAATGCAACAGAGAAAGAGAGATGACCAGATCTAGAACCTTTGGAAAGAAGAAAGTGGGGAATCAAAAAGTTCATTTTCAATGAAGAACCAAAGAACTATATATTCAGTGAAACACTTGACAAGAATAAATATATCAACAAGCAAAGGAAAAAAAAATGTTGATCTGTCAGGGCCAGTGCTATTAGTGAAAATAAAATAAAGAAGAAGAAGAAAATACTTCATATAAAATTAGTAATCAGATATGAGCCATCATACAAATTTAGGAATTCACATTTTTATGGCTCACCTTGCCCAAGAAGCCCCAAGCTGAAAATGTATCAGTAAAATATTCCCCAAATGGTAACATTTTGAGGTCTTAGCAAAAGCAAAAGCAAAATGTCTCTGGGAAAATAAAAAAAGGTAATTTTACATTAGAAACTTGATTAATATAATTCACCAAATTAACAGATTAAAAGAAAAAAATCATGATGACCTTAATATAAGGGAAAATACACTTAGTAAAAGCTCAACACTTATTCATGGAAAAGCATCTTTTAAATTATAAATAGAGAAGATCTTTCTTAACCTGATAATGGTTATCTTGGGCATATATACAGTGAAGCTTCAGAAGCACTTTCATTAAAGGCAGAAATATACTGATTTCATTGCTTCTATACTTTGCTACCTCTACTTAACCTTGTGTCAAATGCCCCAGCCTATACAAGACAATACAAATGAATCAAAGTTAGGATTAAGAGAAAAAATAAATTAAAATATCAATATGCATATGCTATATGATTGCCAATACCCCAACAAGATCTACAAATGAATTGCAAGCATGTTCTTACACAACACAAATATTTAAAACACACAAGCACATATATATATGTTTACTTATTTATGAATTTACAATTTATGAGAAGTGTTTGACCACAATTTCTTTTGTCTATGGAGTGATATTTATTTTCCATCCATTGCATGTTACTGTCATTTCTTTTCTCACTTTTCCTTTTATCTTTGAATATATACTGTGTCAATTCATTTTTTTATTACTTAACATTTTAGAAGGTAAGGTTTTCTTCTCAGGATGTTTGCATATGATTCCTAAAGCTGGGTATGTGCCACTTTCCTTTTGGTTGAAATTTTCATTACAACCTAGTTGGGTATATGTTTTTTAACCTCTTCCCAGACTACAAAGTATCTTCTATTGTCTTTCCACATTGACAGGCTATCCGCTAAAAATATAGCCAGTCTTGTTATTTCTTCAGCCATAACAATTAGTTACAGAAAACCTTTCAACCCAATGTCTGCACCTAATTCACATTGTTATAAAGAGAATTTTGGATATTACACCTTCTTGTGGGCTTCTCACTTCAAAATATTTTCTTTGCCTCTTTCTTTCACAAGCACAGGTATTTTTCTTTATGTTTCTTCTCACATACCTAAGTATGTAAAAATAAATAAAACAAAGTAAAGAATAAATTTCTCATTATCCTGAATGCTTTTCAAGAAAAGAAATATGATCTGACTATATTAGTTTGTTTTCATGCTGCTGATAAAAACATACCCAAGACTAGGTAATTTATAAAGAAAAAGAGATTTAATGGACTCACAGTTCCACATGGCTCAGGAAGCATCACAATCATGGTGGAAGATGGAAGGCACTTTTTACATGGTGGTGGCAAGAGAGAATGAGAACCAGGCACAAAGGGTTATAAAACCATCAGATCTCATGAGACTTATTCACTACCATGAGAACAGCATGGGGGCAATTGGCCCCATAATTCAATTGTCTCACACCAGGTCCCTCTCACATTATTCCCATTATGTGGGAATAATGGGAGCTACAATTCAAGATGAGATTTGGTTGGGGACACAGCCAAACCATATCACTGACTTCATGCCCCTTTTCTTAAACCAGAAGCTGTGAAAATAGACATCTTAGGAAAACCAACCAGTAGAAATCTCATAACTTGCACTAAATTAAACATTATTTCTTAAAAATAGTGAAAAGACATGCCATACATTGTTAGAAGATAGCTATGAGTCATGTAAACAAATACGAGATTTAATAATATAAATAATTTATGCAAGTGATAAGAAAAAGACAGTAGCCCAACAGAAAAATGGGCAAAGTTTATGAAAGACAATTTATTTTGAAAATCCAAATGGCCAAATAAACATAATAAAAGACATTTAACTCCAGTGGTAGTCAGGTAGGCAAAACATGGAATAGGGACTGAGAAATAATCTCACATTGATGTGAGCATAATTTGGCACTGTCACTTTAGAAAACAGTTTGACAGTTGTCAAGTTGAAGACCCAGCAATTTCATTCTTGCCTATATACTTTAGAAAGACACATGCCCAAAACACAAGTCATAAGCTCAGTTTTTGTAATGTAAAAATTTAGAAAGGAGGTAGAAATAAGCATTTATAGCATTCTTAAGTAATGAAACACTATAAAACTGTAAAAATAAATTTTTATGTATGTATACATATATATATATATATACACAAGTATATTTCAAAAAAAAATAATAAACCTACCATCAAATTAAACATAAATGTATATGGATAATATGATACCATTTACTTAAAATTTCCAACATATAATGATATGCCATATGCTACTTAGAAATGCGTCCATGTGCAATAAAAATATAAAGAAAAGCATAAGAATGATAAATACCAAAAGTAGTGTTTAACCCTAAGAATCCTCATAAATATTTGGGAAGGTGAACCAAGTACAATCCCAGACTTTATGCAATCAAGGATTCACAATACAGTTATAGGAACATTGAAAAGAAAGTAAGTCATAAGGTGGTGATATCTAGGACATTTGAGCATTAATATACAACTCAAAGAAGTCTGATGAATCTACTCCCCTAGGAAACCCATCATCTGAACAACTCACAAACATTTCTATTTCTCTCTGCTTCTCTATCTCTATTTATTATTCATTTTATTCTGTTCCAGCAAATAATAATAAAAGCTTAGACATCAAATTGGACTAGTTAATATCTACAGACAGACATATTGTATTAGTCCATTTTCATGCTGCTGATAAAGACATACCCAAGACTGGGAAGAAAAAGAGATTTAATTGGACTTACAATTCCACATAGCTGAGAAGGCCTCAGAATTATGGCAGGAGGTGAAAGGCACTTTTTACATGGTGGTGGCAAGAGAAAATGAGAAAGAGGCAAAAGTGGAAACCCCTAACAAAGCCATCAGATCTTGTGAGACTTATTCACTATCATAAGAACAATATGGAGAAAACACCCCCATGATTCAAATTATCTCCCACTGGGTTTCTTCCACAACATGTGCCAGTTACAGAAGTGAAATTCAAGATGAGATTTGGGTGGGGACACAAAGCCAAACTATATCATTCTGCCCCTGGCATCTCCAAATCTCATGTCCTCACATTTAAAAATCAATCATACCTTCCCAACAGTCCCACAGTCTTAACTCATTTCAGCATTGATCCAGAAGTTCACAGTCCAAAGTCTCATCTGAGACAAGGAAAGTCCCTTCTGCCTATGAGCCTGTAAAATCAAAAGCAAGTTAGTTACTTCCTAGATACAATGGGGGTACAGGTATTGGGTAAATACAGCTACTCTAAATGAGAGAAATTGGCCAAAACAAAGTGGTTACAGGGCCCATGCAAGTTCAAAATCCAGTAAGGCAGCCAAATTTTAAAGCTACAAAATGGTCTCTTTTGACTACACGTCTGAAATCCAGGACACATTGATGCAAGAGACGGGTTCCTATGGTCTTGGGCAGTTCTGCCCCTGTGGCTTTGCAGGGTACAGCCTCCTCCCAGCTGTTTTCATGTGCTGGCATTGAGTGTCTGCAGCTTTTCCACGTGAATGGTGCAAGCTGCTGGTAGATCTACCATTCTGGGGTCTGGAGGACGGTGGCCCTCTTCTCACAGCTCCACTAGGCAGTACGCCAGTAGGGACTCTACGTGGGGGCTCCCACCCCACATTTCCCTTCTGCGCTGCCCTAGCAGAGGTTCTTCATGAGCACCCTGCCCTGGCAGCAAATTTCTGCCTGGGGCATCCAGGTGTTTCTATACATCTTCTGAAATCTAGGCGGAGGTTCCCAAACCCCAATTCTTGACTTCTGTGCACTCACAGGCTCAACACCATGTAGAAGCTGCCAAGTGTTGGGGCTTGTACCCTCTGAAGCTACAGCCCAAGCTCTACATTGGCTCCTATCAGCCATGGCTGGAGTGGCTGGGATGCAGGGCATCAAGTCTCAAGACTGCACACAGCATGGGGACCCAGGGCCCAACCCATGAAACCATTTTCTCTTAGGCCTCTGGGCCTGTAATGGGAGGGGCTGCTGCAAAAGTCTCTTACATACCCTGGAGACCTTTTTCCCCATTGTCTTGGGGATTAACATTTGGATCCTCGTTACTTATGCAAATCTCTGCAGCCAGCTTGAATTTCTCCTTAGAAAACTGGTTTTTCTTTCCTATCACATTTTCAGGCTGCAAATGTTCTGAACTTCTATTCTCTGCTTCCCTTATAAGACTGAATGCCTTCAACATCACCCAAGTCACCTCTTGGATGCTTTGCTGCTTAGAAATTTCTTCCACCAGGTACCCTAAATCATCTTTCTCAAGTTCAAAGTTCCACAAATCTCTAGGGCAGGGGTAAAATGCCAGCAGTCTGTTTGCTAAACATAACAAGAATCACCTTTTTTCCAGTTCCCAACAAGTTCCTCATTTCCATCTGAGACCACCTCAGCCTGGGCTTTGTTGTCCTTATCACTATCAGGGTTTTGGTCAAAGCCATTTAACAAGTCTCTAGGAAGTTCCAAACTTTCCCGCATTTTCCTGTTTTCTTTTGAGCCCTCCAAATTGTTCCAACCTCTGCCTGTTAACCAGTTCCAAAGTCGCTTCCACATTTTCGGGTATCTTTTCAGCAACATCCCACTTGTGGTACCAATTTACTGTATTAGTCTGTTTTCATGCTGCTGACAAAGACATACCCGAGGCTGGGAAGAAAAAGAAGTTTAACTGGACTTACAGTTCCACGTGGCTGAGGAGGCCTCAGAATCATGGCAGGAGGCCTCAGAATCATGGTGGGAGGCAAAAGGCACTTCTTATCTGGTGGCAGCAAGAGAAAATGAGGAAACGCAAAAGCAGAAACCCCTGACAAAGCTATAAGATCTCGTGAGACTTATTCACTACCTCAAGAACAGTACGGGGAAAACTACCCCAATGATCCAAATTATCTCCCACTGGGTCTCTCCCACAACATGTGGGAATTATAGGAGTGCAATTCAAGATGATATTTGGGTGAGGACACAGTCCCAAACTATATCACCTATAGAGTATGAAAATAACTGAGAGTACTTAAAAGCTGTAGCCATAGCCATTCTGTTTTTTAGATCAGGTGGTATAGGTCAGCCACTGCAGTTTTCTAAGGCAGTGTGGCCATATTCAGAGTTCTTAAAACATATTTCAAAAAATAATAATCTGTGGCAAAATTAGCCTGCATTTTGCAGAATTGAAGCCAGACCATGCTGAATAGGAACCAGAGAAATATGTTATTTTATATATTTTACTTGTTTTTGCTCTAAATTTCTCCATTTCCTTATAACTTCTAAATTTTATAGTATAGACCCAATTTAAGATATCAAATCAAGGATCTCAACTATACAGTTAGTAATAAAAACCCCATCATTCTAGCCAATTATTTATAATTACAATGAGTCTTTGTTTCAATATAAAGAAAATCAGATTATGGATTGGTTTATTTATCTGCACTGGAAATTTGTTAAGCCTGTAGATGCTCATCTTTTCATAGTATTAATGAGACCTGCCAACCTGCTGTGCATAACCCAAAGGAAATAATTAGAAATAATACACATTGGACCCTCTAGGACAGTATTTATTAAGTCAGACTAACAGAGACAACAGTAAGAGAGCTGTTTCTCTATTGCTCTTCATATGCTACAGTAGCTTACTAGGATTTAGCAAGGACAGACATTAAACTTTGGAAAAAGGATTTTGGTTTTCAGGCCATAGGCATTTAAGCTGCACCATTAGGAGAACCAACCCATTCACTGGCATGATCAAGGATGCAAGCCTTGTGGATACAGCATTATCCAGGCCCCCGGACCTGACTTACCACCTACACTCTATCAAGAATGATTCCCTCAAGCAATGAGCTATAGCCAGTTAGCATGGAACAACATTTACTTCCTAAATCATTCCACCCTGGGAAGGAGGTAAGTTTTCCTGTAGACCAGCCTGCAGGAAATCCATCTTAGACAATTAACCCCTACCTCTCACTCTCAAAGTTAGAGAAGCTAGAACTCATTCTCTGCTACCTTTACAGATAGAACACTGGCATGTGACATAGGCTAGGCCAATTAGATACATCCACAGAAAACTTCAATTGGGAAAGAAGCAACAATAAGATGCAGCTGTGATAAGGAATCCATCTTCTGCTGTGAATGGTAAGAGGAAAATCAAACTTTGGGAAGTAGCATGAACACAATTTCTACTATGTCCAGTGTGTACAGTGCAAGCTGCATTATCTCCCAATGGCAAGAGCAGTGGTGTATTTGCTGAAGCAGCACTCTAGTGTTGTGTGTATATGTTCTCTGGCTGTACAGCTTCACAGCCTAGATCTCTAACCTTCCTAGAGGTTAGGTAATCCACCTAATATATTTTAACAAATTCTTTTGCTGTTTAAAAAAGCTAAGTAATTTCTTTTTGTTCCAACCAGAATCCTGACATATACTGAATTAATTGCAGGTATGGCTGAAAATACCATATCCCCAAGAAAATAGAAATTTGAGATTCGTTATATGGGCAGATTGGATTTGGAAGTAGTAAGGATCCAGCCTCTGGCAGCCCATGAAACATGGTGATTGAATATTTAATTAAATTATCACCTACGGTTAACAGGAATGAAGGACGAGCTAAAGGCTGGCTTCAGAGGACTGAGTACCCACTGCCATAGAACAGTGTGAAGGACATATAGAATATAAACCCTGTAGGGTAAACAGTAAACTTCTAATTATACTAAAGAATTACCAAAAAAGAGGATATTATAAGCTCAAAATCCCAAATTCTCAGTTCAAAGTACAGTGAGAAGTTTCTATGACTAGGCTAAAAGTATTTGTCTCCTGTAGTCACAGTGCTAAGGTAATCAAATTAATTAAATTTTGTCAAATGACATCAACTGAATATAAATGCTTGCCAGGTCTCTTAGGTGAAATTCAGACCACTGACTGGGAAGGAGTAGAGCCCTGAAAATTGAAAGGACTCATGTGAGAGGATTCAAATATCTCTGAGTACTCCAGATCTACAATTCTTACATAGCCTCACTTACCAGTGGAAGCAACTTCTCTTCCCTTTCTCCTGGGCAGTGGTACCCTATATAAACACCTGTCAATCTGTTAATACCCTAAACCAACACCCTCATCATATAAAAGAAAGTGAATTCTCACACACCACCCTTCATTATCTGTAGATCAAGGATCAGTGTCAGACCCTCTTACTCTGTTGGGGTAGAGAGGATGCAGAAGCAACCACATGTTCACTCCCAGGTGGAGAAACATTACTCACCAGAAAATTGCAAAATTTTGCTAGTTTATATTAGTAAAGACCTGGAGAATATGTGTAAGGATGGATTCTAACATTACACTAATAATGAAAGCAAATTATTTTAAAGTAAGCTAAATTTCTTAGCAGGGATTTACTGTACCTGCTTAGACAGCAAAACAGAGGTCTAAATGTTTGCCAGGTTGGTTGAATGAAACATAAATTTACGGTGGTAAATAACGTTAAGGGGTAAGAAATAATTGGTATAATGTAGAAGGAAACCAACATCTTAGGCAGCTAGAAAAATTGAAGTAGATTAATCATGGGTTACCCGCTCTTCACCTCCCTGGCATCTCCATAAAACGCAAACCACGTCACTTCGGAGGGCCCAGAAACAAGCCCTTCATGAAGGCACTGAGAGTGGCATTGCCTCGGAGAACACCAATATGTTTTTTAAGTGCTGGCTGGGCACAATGGCTCACACCTGTCATCCCAGCACTTTAGGAGGCTGAGGAGGGAGCAGCACTTGAGTCCAGGAGTCAAAGACCAGCTGGGCAACATAGTGAGACCCCTGTCTCTACAAAAATAAAAAATAAAAATAAATGGCTGGGCGTCATGGTGCTTTACTGTAGTGCCAGCTATTTGGGAGGCTGGGATGGGAGGATTACTTGAGCTCAGAAGGTAAAGGCTGCAATGAGCCAAGATTATGCCACTGCACTCTAGCCTGGGCAGCAGAATGAGGCTCCATCTCAAAAAATATGTAAAGAAATAAAAATTAATAGGACCACATCTCAAAAAAATTAAAATACCGAGTTGGCTATTCTCTGTTGGCTGGGAAACTACATGGATATGGTGGTTTTTAAATGGGCTCTTTATTGCAAAGGTTATGATGGACCATTTGGGTAGCAGATAAAGTAGTAACTTGTAAACAGAAAAAGAAATGAGGGCATGGTCATGTTAACAAACACTGGAGTCAATATGATTATCAGCATTATCTGTCCTGTAGGTATCTTTTGAGGTAGGTGTCCGATTACTAGGTCCTTAGAATCTAAGTAGATGTTCAACTCACTTGAATCAGTTCACAGACTTAGTATACCTTTCATAAGGTGAAATCATGTATAATTGGGGATTTCCTTAGGAAAAAATCAAAAGTGCCTACTGTAAATCTTACTGTATAGCATATCCAAAGGGACTTGCAGCCAGTAACCAGGCTAACTGTGCACTGGGGAAGAAGATGTAGACAGAAATCTCAGGGATTATGAAATACTAGCTTTAAACTCAGACAGTCCCCAAAGGCACTGTCCACTGCTGTTAAAAATCAGTTTAAAAAATTTGAGTTATGACCAGAGACCACTTCGAGTGGATCTTACAGAACTCTTATCCCATCTGTTTCAGTAACAAACTGTCCCAAAACAGTGGTTCGCTACAGTGATATTAGTTGTGCTCATACATTTGCCACTTGGGCAGGACTTGGCAGGGAAAGCTCATCTCTGCTCTATTTAACATTAACTGGGGTGCCTCAAAGGTGAGGATTAGAATCATCTCCAAGATTATTTACTCACATGTCTGGCCATTGATGCTGCTGTTGGCAGGAAGCTTACTCAGCCAGAGCTGTTAGCCAGGGCACCTAAATGTGGCCACTGGATGTAGACTGGGCTTCCTCACAAAATGGTGGTTATGTTCCAACCACAAGCATCCCAAGAAAGAGAGAGAGCCAGGAGGAAGCTGTATCTGCTTTTCTAACACAGGCTTTGAAATAATAAGTAAATTTTTGCCACATTCTATTTCTCAAAGCAGTTACCATGTTCTGACTAAGTTAAGGAGTGGGAAATACAGATTTTACCTCTTGATAGAGAGCAGGGTCTGAAAAAACATGTGAAACCCGCATTGTATCAATTTAGGGAAAATATACTTTGTCACACATCCTTTGACTATTAATCCAGTTCCAACATGTATGGTTGAAATAGATATACTCAGTAACTGGAAAACATCCACAAATTGTCTCCCAGATGAATGACAAAGATTACTTTGTAATTAACCAGGCACTCTCCTATTGTAGCGGTTATCCAAGGTTTTCCCTCATTTGGAGAGCAAATAAACACTGCCCCTGCTTGCCTGCTAGTCCGTAAAAGAGGTCTGACAAATATTTCATTTTTGCTATTCCAATAAATAGAGAATATAGAAGCAATTTTTTATTCTGGGGTAGGCCAACAGTAAACCTTCACTGTCTTATTTCTGGGCTAAATAAACTATCGGGCTCTGTGTCATAATTTAATGTAAAAGACTTTCCTTTCTCATCATTTCATAGAACATCATGCTGTCCACTACAGTGAACATCATATATCTAGGTCCTGATAAACAAAAAGAAGTAAGCAGTTTAAATGTGATGAAAAAACATGGAGGCTATTGGCTGAAAAAGCTATCTTATGAAATTTTAGAAGCCTGCTATTCCCATAAATCTGGGGGGATATAATAGCCTGGGGGCAGTTGAAAACTGGTTTCTGCACCTTGAAATTCTCACCTCTAAGAAACAGACATGAAACTTGCCAGTTCTCATTAAAATTTAACAGGAAAAACCTCATAAACCATGTTTTATGTGCTGCTGTTTGCCATTTGGTAAATAACCTAACATGTTAACAACTTGAAATGGAGCCACAGTTAGGACTGGCTCTCCAGCCAGTCCAGACTTCAGTGCAAGGAAATCTTTAGCCCATATGACCCAACAGATCCAATGATGTTTGAAGTGTCCATGACAGCTCAAATGCTTTGTAGAAATTAAGCCCCAGTAAGAAAACCACAACTCAAATGTTAAAGAGGAATTATGTTTTCTTTGGCTAGAATTTAGTTTTTAATGGCTGTATATTGGTTTATATTAGAGGCTGAATAGTAGACCTTAATACACCAGGACATACCACAGCATGAGCTGCCTGTTATGCACTGAACATTCAAGTTATTAAGTTGGGAATACCCACCAACGTTCTATAAGCAAACGCAGTTCCTGAGAACACAAGTGGTTTTCCTGAGCAGGTGGGTCAATTGTTCACTGTGGTTATTCTCACTGCAGAGTCATCACTTCCTCAACCCACTCCCATGACCACATGGAAAGTTTATGTTTTATGACTACTTTGTGAAACTTTTCAAGCCTGGTTCATAGAAAGCTCTGTCCAATATGCTGGCACTAGTTTAAAATGGACTGCTGTGGCCCTACAGCCCCACTTGGTGTGATGCTGACAGATGATGAAAACATAATCCTCCCAGTGGGCATAACTAGCACGGTACATATTGTGGTCCACTTTTCCTGGAAGGAGAGCTTGCATGAGGAACAATTGAAGGGCAGTGACTAATGCTTTGACCAGATGGTCTGAGACAAAGAGGTTTGGATAAAACTCTTAGAATTTGAAAGTATTTTTGTCCTATGCAAATGTGTAGCATAAAGTTCCCACTGAAGAGGATGCTCTCGATAATTAGGGGGACAAGTTGTTCTAACATGTAGATGCCAGTCAGGCTTTTTTCCCCCAGTCCCAGTAATGTTTACTCAACATACTTGTTTAAATAGCAGCCATAGTGTCATAAGGGGTTTTAAATAGGCTCAACAAATGGACTTCTCCTCACCAGTGCTGGTTTAGCTATCATTACTACTGAGTGCGTAACTTTTCAGCAATAGCAGCCATCCTTGAACGCTATATAGGCTCTTATATGCTGAATAGATCAGATAGTCACTTGGCAGCAAGTTGATTATTTTGGAGCCCTTCATCCACAGTGGATTTTTTCTTACTGGAATAAACACTTATTCTGGATTTGGATTTGCCTTCTCTGCTTGCCATGCTTTGCCAGCAACACAATCTGTTGACTACTGGATGTCTGGTCATCATCAAGTTAACCCAAATAATATTACTTCTGACTAAGAAAGCTCAATTTACAATGAAAAAAATAAGGCAATAGGTTAGTGTTCATGGGATTTGCTGGTCTTCTGTCCCAGAAATACCTGGCCTTATGGAATATTGAAATTATTTTTTAAAGACTCAGTAACAGTGTCAACTGGAAGATAATACTTTGTGAGGTTTAGATGCTGTCTTACAAGATACAACCTGTTTTTTTATTAAATCCTCTCAGCCATAATATAAAATCTGTGAGTCAAGGGATAGCAATAGGAATGGTTCATTTAATCTAAGAATCTGATTGAGAGATATTTATTCAAATTGAAGAATTATACATCTAAAATTTAAAATGTATTTATTAAGATCATTGCATTCAATCTCACGATCTCTGACTACAAAATGTTGTTCTCAAAAATATAATATTGTAACAATATTTGTTTAAATTACTTGTAGAAATAGTCTAGCTTATTAAACTCAAATATGAACATTTAAACACAAATGATTCACATTAGAATACAATTATTCCATATAATCACAGAGTGCCTGCCACACAGTAGGTTCCACAATAAATATTTGTGGAATAGATGACCTTTAAATAACAAATTTGTCCAGTGAATTTTCAGTATTTTCCATAAATAAAAATTCAATCTGCACATAACTTATTAAGAATATGTCTAGTAGGCTTAAATGTTATTCAGCAGCTCCTTTCTATTCCCTTTTTTAAAGTAATTTTTAAATCATCTCTATGGCTGTCTCTAATGTTAACACAAAAATGTATTACTTATAAGAATATTTCAGCCCATAGTGATTCCATGGAAATAGACTGTATCTGATAAATATTTTTTACTCCTACTTACGACACATATTTCTACCTGAATCAAAACAAGTTAGTTCCAACAAGGAAAAATATAATGACAGCATTTCTTTGAAATAGAAAGAAATACTATTCTAAGGAAAAAATGTATTTTATTGCTTTTTTTATATACTAACCTAAATGTGTTTGCCCTCCTTAGAACTATGAAAAGTCTTCACTTTGTTCCTGGGTTTTATCTTTAATGATCCTGTAAAGTAAACGAGGCTATGTTTTTCTGTTTGTTGCAGGCATTTTAATCCAATTTCTGTAATAGTGAAGCTATGGGGATCTCAAGCAGAGATGGGCTTACATTTTTTAATGGGAGCTGATCTCATGAGATGAGATTTTTGATTTCCCACCTGGTTACCAGAGAGAAAGAAAAACAGAAAAAAGTAGAACTAAACTCTGCATGTAAATTTACATCAATTCTTCAGAGATCTACTAATTTCATGCAACAAAAATAACAGCCTGTGAATTAAACCAAAAAGGAAAATAAATATTAAAATATTTGTCTTGAGATTTAAACACCCATTTTTGAAATGACTTAAAAAACTCTAAGTCACTGGAGATTCGTTGCAACAGTAACAAAAGAAAAAGCTACGTAACAGTTGTTAAACCACTTAGGAATGAAATATTTCCTGACTTTATGTATTAAAGTACAAAAGAAAAAGGTATGATGCATTATCTAAAATTGTGATCACAAAGCTAATAATGAGCTATTTAAAACAAATTATAGTTTCTTAATACAGTGCATCTGTCACAATTCAGCCAAATTCTATAGATTTTTGCCATTAAGAATAATAAAATGCAAAAAACCCTCAGATTTAAAAAAGAGCCAGCCATCAAAATTTTACCTTTTTACTCCATATCAACATTGCTTTGTGATCCAAACATTCTGACATCTTCAAAATTAAGGCTATTCTGATTATATAAATTAAACCTGTATATGATGCAATTCTACATTCACAGGTTTTTACTTCTCTTACTAGGCAAATAGCATATTTATTTCATTCATTGGGTTCACATGCTAAATCAAAGCACTACAATGCACTATGAGAAATGTAGATATCTTCCTCAAGAAGTCAGGAGAAGAGACTGATATGAAAATTACTAAGAATAATATAAGAAAGAATGAAGTTTTTCTGCAACAACATTACGAGTCATGCTGTGGGAACATATTCCTACTTCAGTATTAAGGAATGTATCAAAGAAATGACAATTTTTAAACCTAAGCTCTAAGATTGCTATACCAATAAGTCCCAAATGTCTGGCATAGTTTGTTGCATATGATAGTTACTCTACAGATGATTATTGAATTTATTTATTTATTTTATTTTTATTTATTTATTTATTTTGAGATGGAGTTTCACTCTTGTTGCCCAGGATGGAGTGCAATGGCTTGATCTCAGCTCATAGCAACCTCCGCCTCCTGGATTCAAGCCATTCTCCTGCCTCAGCCTCCACTGTAGCTGGGATTACAGGCATGCGCCACCATGCCTGGCTAATTTTGTATTTTTAGTAGAGACGGGGTTTCTCCATGTTGGTCAGGCTAGTCTCGAACTCCGGACCTCAGATTATCTGCCCACCTTAGCCTCCCAAAGTGCTGGGATTACAGGCATGAGCCACCGCGCCCGGCCTCGAATTTATTTTTTTAGAAAAAAATTATTTTGATATAAGAGAGACACATTATTTAAAGCATGTAAATAATGAACTTTCACAAGCAAATTCAGTTTGTGCCTGACACAGCGGCTAACCATCCTGGTTAATATGTGATAGCAATTAATCCTACTATGTTATCATGCAAAGATTGAGGGCCCATTCCTCAAGGGGAGCACAAGTTGATCTGCAATGCCATTTCACTCTAGAGTGTCACAACTTTAGTTCTAACACAGTAAATGTAACTCTCAAAATTTAATGTTTCCCACTCTAAGCCTGTCAGAAACATTTACAAAATGTGTTTATACCTGATCACTACACCATGAAATACTGATTTTATACGTTAAAAAAAAATTGAGACAAGTAAAAGGAATCCACAATAGCTATTATCATAGAACTGCAGCAGCTATTGTTGTCTGATATTAAACCACCTTCATTACAGGGACCTTTTGTCTTTACACAAACATTTTTGTAAATGTATGACTCAAGAAATATTGTCTGGGGAGAGACTAATGAGCAAGACAGATGAAGAATCTCTGCTTTCAAAAGCTAAATGTTTTCCACAAAGTATATCTTTTATCACCCCAGATTGTCAAAGTCTCCTCAGTTGACCTTTCAAAATTTCAAAAATGTGAAGGGACAAAGCTATCCCTAATAATCTACCAATATCACTGCATCTGCTGAAACATCTTGGTATCCACCATTAGTGAGATGGATGATGGAAGGTGAAAATCAGTAGCTCATCTGAGAAGGGTCGTGTTCATTCCTCTGGTGATAGATGAAAGCTATTTCTCTGTTAGCAGCAATCCTCCTTTATTGTCATGCAAGTCCTGCAGTGGGAACCAACCACATTTTTTTTCCAGTTTGCTCAAGTTAAGTGACACATTCATTTCAGCTGGGATAGATTGCTGCAGGAACTACGCTACGTCCCTAAAAATTGTATTTCTATGTGTGTTGTGGAATCTCCCTCATGTCACCTCTGGCTGAGTTTAAAGATTGACTCTCCTTGAAAACCCAGAAAGCCTTTTAAATTCCTAAACTGAAAGGCAGAAGAACTGGATTCTTGCTGTGTGAGTCTCTAGACAATTAGGTAATTTTGTAAAAGCAATTTGGTCACTCTGCGGCTCTGTTTCTTCATATGTTTCCTTTAAGGGCTTTCTTTAAATATAAAGGGTACACCACAAGTGAAGGTGTGAGAAGTGAAATAAAATAAAGAGTTATCCAACTATAGGTTGAAATAACTCCTGTAAAAGCTTAATAAAAAAGAGAATGTTCAAACAAATCTTGGAAAATAGTCATCTATGACTGACCTGAAACTATCAAAATCCACACTGCTGAAGACCCAGATAACACTGAGGAAGACCTAGATGATATGCCAATAGAGCTTTCAGATTTGCACACTGCCTTATGTAGCCCATATTTGATATTATCTCACCTTTATATATTTGAGTAACTATTTTATTATACCACTTAATTTTTAATAAAATTTCACATAGAAAAAACTACAAAAAGCCTATGGGACATCCATAATCTAACATTTACCCACCACTACAGTTTTTGTACCTCCTCATTACCCCAAAAAGACTGGCCAAAAGACTCTCCCCAAGAAACTTTTTCCCATCTAGAACGTCACAAGAAATATTTTTCTTCTTCTCCTTTTCCTCCATCTACTAAGGTCGAGATAAAGACACACTTCACCCTCAATGACCTAAGAGATTATCCTAAGTCCCAGAGGCCACTTTCTCTTCTATAATGCATACCTTATAACTGGTCTTACCACTGAAGAGTATACAAAAATATGATTCAATAAAATACAAGCGTATCCAAGAAAAAAAACACGAGTACACAAGAAATTGTATACATGATAAAAAATATCCAAGAGAATATAAGAGTATCTAAGAAAAAATCCAAGCATATACCAGAAAATGTATACACGATAAAGAGGCCTTACAGGTAGCATGAAACATGGCCCACAAAGAAAAGAACTAGAATGTCACCCTAATGAGGGACCCTTAAGACTAAATATGGAAACCAAGATTGATTAAGATAAATCATAAGGGAGAAGAAGCCTATGGGGAGTAATCAATCAAGGGTTGTGTTTAAAATAAATAGAATATTTTCCTTCTGTGATTTTTTTATCATTTATTCTGATTCTTCATTATTTGCTCTCTTTCTTTTATTTTGCTTAACTTTTGAATGTCTGCAAAATCGAAAAAAATATATAAATATATGAGTAAAATCTATGATCTTACTAAATCCATGTGCAGTGCATGTGTGTGAGGGGGCTGGGGGATGAAGACAGCAGATACAGGATTATAAAACACTATCTACACCAGAAAGTAATTTATAAACTAATTTTAAGTTAACTCATAAAATCACAGGAAGTAATGATCATACATTTAAATTAAAATCAAAATAATGTGGTATAGGCTTCACATGCTATTATTTCACTGAAGGGCTAGGCACTATGCCAAAAACAATGAGCAGTGACTTTATAGAAAAGGTGAGAAATGGTACCAAAAGGATGGAGAAGATAAAAAGAGAAAGAAGAGAGGAAAGAGGACACTCCAAGTTCATGGGCAGTCTAAACAACAGCTAAATCTCAATGCACAGGGCATTGCACAGGGGATTATAAGGGACATGTGGAAGCTATAGTTCAAGCAGAGAGATAACTTTGATTTTATTTCATATCATAGCCAGAGAATAGGACTACAACTAAAGGATGAGAGTTTATCTTCTTCTCGACAAACTATTTCTCTACTTTAATGTCTGCTTCTATAATTGGGAGGGGAAAAAAACAGTACCTAGCTTTCAGATATTATGAGAATAAAAATAATATATTTGAAGGACAAAGCAAGGGCCTAGTCTTGGTAGGTGACTATTAACTCTAGAAAGTTTTATTACAATAATAAAAGCAAAAACTTGCAAACAACTTAGTTGTCTATCAACAGAATGGACCAAGTAACTGAGGAATTCATTGCTATCACTGGACATGTTCATTTATAGCCTGGACCATTGGTTTATCCAAAAGAAGTTTGATGTATAAAATGATCCATCCAGTATAGTCATGATGATAATAGCTAATATTTGTTGTATTTTTACTTCAGGCACTGTCGTCAGTACTTTATATGAATTATATCATATTTTTCTTGAAGCAAAGTTATGAGGTACTTACTGATATTATAATTAAGTAAATTGCCAAAGGTCACATAGCTCATTGGTAGCAGAGCTAGGATTCAAACCCAAGAAGATTATTAGCTCCAGAGTCTGAACTCCTGGTGACTATATAATACCACCTATAAGGGTAAGTACAGTCATACCTCAGAGATATTGCAGGTTCAGTTCCAGACAAGTGCAATACAGCAAGTATCACAATAAAATGAATCTCACAATATTTTTAGTTTCCCAGTGCACATAAAAGTTATGTTTATTCTGTAGTCCATTAAGTGTGCGACAGCATTATGTCTAAATTTAATTTTAAAATACTTTATTGCTAAAAAATGCTGATGACAATCTGAGCCTTTAGCAAGTCATAATCTTTTTGCTGGTGGAAGGTCTTGCTTTGATGTTGATAGCTGCTGACTGATCAGGGTGGTGGTTGCTAAAGGTCAGGGTTACTGTGACAATTTTTTTTTCTCTTTTTAAATTTATTTTAATCTTTGTGGGTACACAGTAGGTGTATATATTTATAGGGTACATTAGATGTTTTGATACAGACACGCAATACATAATAATCACATCATTGAAAATGGGGTATCTATCCCCTCAAGCATTTATCCTTTGTATTACAAACAATCCATTTACATTCTTAGTTATTTTTAAATGTATAATTAAGTTGTTATTGACTTGCAACAATTTCTTAAAATAAGACAAGGAAGTTTGCCACATGAATTGATTCTTCATTTCACAAAAGATTTCTCTGTAGCATGAGATATGTTTGATAGTCTTTTACCTACTATAGAAGTTCTTTCAAAATTGAAGTCAATCTTCTCAAACCCTGCCGTTGCCTTATCAAATAAATTTACATAATATTTTAAATCCTTTGTTTTCATTTTAACAATGTTCACAGCATCTTCCCCAGGAGTAGAGTCCACTAAAAAAAACCCTCACTTTCTTTGTTCATCCATAAAAAGAAACTCCTCATCCATTCAAATTTTATCATGAGATTGCAGCAATTCAGTCGCATCTTCAGACTCCACTTCGAATTCGAATTCTCTTGCCATTTCCACCACATCTGCAGTGATTTTTATCCACTGAAGCCTTAAATCCTTCAAAGTCATTCATGAGGGTTGGAATCAACTTCCTCCAAACTACTGTTAATGTTGATGTTTTGAATTTGGATGATAATCCTGAAAGACACAGTCCTGAATGCTTAATCGCAAATGTTGAAATCCTGAATGATCAAAATCTCTGAAGTCTAAGTCTCTAAAGTCTAAAATTCCTATCATCTAAAACCCCCCAAATAACTGTCACAGGATAGTCACACCATGTTAGATGGAACTATTATCTTATAATTTTTTTATTTGCATTTGGTGGTAAGTTCAGATGAGTAGCTTGGCCGCGTGATATGGCAACAATGAATACCTCAGTTTAAAAGTGATCATTTGCCTACATTGAAATTCCTTCCAGCTAATGACTTTCCAGGAGTTTTTAATGAATTAAAGCCACTTTTGCCTGAAAAAGTTAGGAAAGTCACTGACTGGCTTAACAATAATTATGTGCATGATAGAATAAGAATACACTTACACAACGGTGTTGCTGTTATATCACCAATATTGTTTCTGCTAAATTTGCAGTCTGTGTATGAATGCATGTGGAATGGATTTCCACATACACAAAACTACATAGAAGCATGACACAAAAGATGGAAAATTTAGCAGGGAATGCTCACGTTGGTATATATTGAATCATATAAGAATTTGAAAGACAGTGGTGCCACATAGAAAGTGAATGTAAACTATTTTCCTAGGAGAGCCATATCCTAAAAGAAAAAAGAAAAAAAAAAAGCTATTCATTGTGATGCAAGACTTAAAAATACAGTTAATGATCATGAAAATCTGCCAGCTCTTATGGATTATCTTCTGCAATTACCCATAATCTATCCCTGTAATACACTTCTTCATGTGTTGAATTTTTTTTTTTAGTTTTGAGGGTGGTGTTCTTGTTTCTTTTTCTTTTTTCTATTTTTTCACTATTTTTAATTGTCAGCATTACTTTTTTACAATTTGCTATGTTATAAATTTTGTCTTCCCATAATTTCCAATATTGGAGGTATAAATTGTATGGAGACTTTTAGAGCATTTGAATGTGTTTTATACATTTTTTTGCAAATTTTACTCTATGAAAGTGCATTATCACAATGTTACCTGTGTGTAATCACTTTGCATGTATGTAAAAATGTTGAAATTTCTTCAGTAAATGAAGAGATGTCCTTTTTGTACATCTGCATTTGTGAAGGATAAAATTTTTCAGAATCTCAGCTCTCTGGGTGACTGCATATGTGGTGGTGACCCATCATGGTTTTTCATTGATCTTGTTTAAAGACTTAGGTTTTTCATCACACTATTTCCAATGGCTGCAATTATAAAGCTGAGTGCACACAACTATCAATCATATTGATATGAATTTATTCATTTTCCTTTTTGACCTATTTATTTATGAATATGATTCACCCAGTCAGAACTGTTATATTCATGCAAGTGTCATTAATATACTTCAGTGTTTATATTTGCAAAACTATATGTTATTATTGCCTATTTTATTGTGTAAAGTGGAATCATTTTTAGGGACTCTCTCTGAACCTATTCTAGTTCATGAGGCTGTCTGATTCACAATAAAATTATATAATTTTTAAAGTTTTTTTCTCAGAATTTTATTTTCAGGATTTTGATGTTTCAGGATTGTGATCTTCAGGATTTTAGACGTCAAAGATTTTGATCTTTTGAATTCAATATCAGAATTACTGCATTCAGGGTTGTATCTTTTGAGATTATAATCGTCTCTTGATATTTTGACCTCCTCTCATTAATCATTAATGTTATTAATGACATTTAGAATGGCAAATCCTTTCCAGAAGTCTTTCAATTTACTTTGCCCGGTTCCATCAGAGGAAAATTATATACTGCACCTATAGTCTTATGAAATGTACTTATTAAGTAAAAAGACTTCAAAATCAAAATTACTCTTGGATCCATGGGCTGCAGAATGGATGTTGTGTTAGCAGGCATGAAAACAATGTTACTCTCTTATACATGTCCACTGGAGCTTTTGAATCACCAAGCACATTGACTATGAGTAGTAACATTTTAAAAAGAATCTTTTTCTCTGAGAAGTAGGTCTCAACAGTGGGCTTATAATATTCAGTAAGTCATGCTGTAAACAGATATGCTATCATCCAGGCTTCGTTGTTTTATTTATAGACCACAAGCAGAGTAAATTTAGCATAATTCTTAAGGGCCCTAGGATTTTCAGAAAGGTAAATGAGCATTGGCATCAACTTTCAGTTACCAGATGCATTAGTGCTTAACAAGAGAGTCAGTCTGTCCTTTGAAGCTTTGGAGCAGGCATCGACATCTGCTCTCTAACTTTGAAAGTCCTAGCTAGCATCTTCTTTCATTAGAAAGTTGTTTCATCTGCACTGAAAAGTTGTTATTTAGTGTAGCCATTTTCATCAATTATATTAGCCAGTTCTTCTGGATAATTTGCTGCAGCTTCTACATGAGGACTTGTGGGTTCACCTTGCACTTCTATATTATAGAAATGTCTTCTTTCCTTATACCTTATGAGCCAATCTGTGTTAGCTTGCAACTTCTTCAGCTTCCTCACCTCCCTCAGCCTTGATAGAATTGAAAAGAGTTAGGGCCTTGCTATGAATTAGGTTTAGGTTTAAGGGAATGTTGTAGCTGCTTTGATCTTCTATCCAGACCACTAATACTTTCTCCATGTCATAAATTAGGCTGTTTCACTTTCTTACCATTCATGTGTTCACTGGCATAGCACTTTTAACTTCCTTCAAGAACTTTTTCTTGTATTCACAGCTAAGCTGGTTGGCACAAGAGGCCTAGCTTTCAGTCAGTCTTGGCTTTTGACATGCATTTTTTACTAAGCTTCATCATTTCTAGCTTTTGATTGGAAGTGAGAAGCACATGACTCTTCCTTTCACTTGAACAATTACCTTACAGGTTATTGTAGGGTTATTAATTGGCCTAATTTCAATATTGTGCCTCAGGGAATAGGGAGGCTCAAGGAGAAGAGAGATGGGGTAATGGTCAACTAGTAGAACAGTCAAAAAACACACATTTATCAGTAAAGTTTGCCATCTTATCTGGGTGCAGTTCCTGGTGCCCCAAAACAATTACAATAGTATCATCAAAGATCACTGATCATAGATCACCATAACAGACTTACGTAATAATTAAACATTTGAAATATTATAAGAATTACCTAAATATGACTCAGAGACATGAAGTCAGTACATACTGTTGGGAAAATGGTATTGATAGACTTGCCCAACTCAGAATTGCCACTAACCTTTAAGTTGTAAAAACACAGTATCTGTGAAGCACAGTAAAGCAAAGTGCAATGAAACGAGGTATGCCTGTATATAGAAATTGTTTATTCCTTTCTTCTTATCTAATACAGGGATACCTAGTGTCTGTAATCCTGCACTTCTGTCAAGAAAAGGAATTTTTAAACACAAAGAAACAATATGAAAAACGATGACTGCTCTTCTATGTAAAGATGAAAGGTAGATATGGCAGCCTCACCACCACCACGTATCCTCTCTCTGTGTCTTTCATGTTTATCTGTCCAGCTGTCTCTCTGTTCTTTCCTCCTCAGCACAAACTCCAGTTAGAGGAGTGGAGGAGTAAGAAGCACAGGAGAAAAAAAAAGTAAGAATAAAACTTGAAGCAGGGAAACAGAAAACTGCAGCAAGAGAGGAGAGTAAAAAGAAAAAAAAAAAAAAGAAGAAATGCATATTGAATCACCATTGAGTTAATAGACCCAGTTTTTACTTCTGATGACCTTTGCTCCTGATGCTTCCTTTATTTAGAGTTTTTTAAAAAATATTTGCCTGATAAAACAGTATCAAAATTGCATGTAAATTGAGTACTGAACACACAATCCTGAAACACTAAACTACTTATAATCTCCAAACTCCTTTTAATCCTCAGTGCCTGTGCACATGCATTCCATCCCATCTCTCTCACTTGCAGAATTTCCATAAATACTTAAAAAACAACCCAAGAGGAACTTCTTCTATGTGTTCTTCCTTGATCAATCCATAATTATTCATGCTTCTCTCTGTGTTTCTGATCTTGTATCATAGAAACCTCTACAAATTCAGCACTTGATAATTAATGGACTTACATGTTTTTCTCTTGATTGACATCTAGACCACATTGAGTAATCTTGTACTGTATTTGATTCATCTGTTACTGGTGCCTGGTACTACTGTAGAGCAGTAGAAGAGTAGAAGGTGTACTCTACTACTGTACCAGGCATCGGTAATATATGGTAGCATATAGTAGGCACTCAGTAAGTATTTTTTGAATTGATCTTCTGTTAGGCATGGTGTTCACAGGAGAAAGAAATAAAGACAAACAGGACATAATTGTCATCGTCCAGGAGGCCAGAGGCCAGTGAACCAATCGAACAATGTTATAAGTGCTGCAGTAAAGAAAAGCACTGATATTGTAAGGAAGAATGCCAGGAAATGGAGCTCTGATCTGGACCTTAAAAGTTCACTAGGCAGTTAAGAAACAAGTGGAATTTTCAGGAGAGACTATATAGAGTGATTCATGAAATAATGTAAACTCTGGAAAAATATAAGAAATTCAAAATGGCTGCATTGGCTCAGGTACATATGGGAAAATGACTGGAAATATAGTTGAGACTTGAGTAGAAGCAGATCATGAAAGGCCATCATCAAAAAGACTTTCCATGAACAGCCCATGCCTCCCTTGAAGCAGGATGCTGTCATTTCATGTATCATAAAGTCAGATCCATTTCAACAGTGTATTAATAAAGGATGGATATTTTACTGAAAATTGTGTGGAAAGACAGAAATAATTACATCACAAACTATTTTGTAAATATTCTTTAAAAAATCTTCTAGGAAGTAATCATATGGTTTATCATCTAAATCAGGGCACTTGAATAATTTTCCTAGATTAATATACAAATACTGGAACTGTCAGGGAAACTGAGGATGTATAGTCACCCCATGCCTTTAAGTGCTGCTATCCCCAAATTTTATCTGGATACATCAATTACCCTCCTCCTTGTTCCTCCAATCTTCTTTCCCTACATCATCCTGTCTATCAACCCATCCTTCTATTATCACCTTCATTTCCCAACCACCTTCTTCTCTTTCTCCACCACCTGTCTCATTATTTCATTATGTCTCTTTTCTTAAGGATGAGAAATTTAGCCCTCTATTAATTTCTCCCATTTATAGCCTAATACCCAGCATCTACTTAGTAAAGAAAGAACCTTCTTTAGGATTTGTTCTTCTTAGAAGACAATGAATATTGAAAAAAAAAAAAAAAGCGTGATTCCCTATGACAATTTTTCCCCTAGCATCTGTGCAAAGGAAATGAAAAGAAAGCTTACTTAGCACATATACACATGAATAAGAAATACATTAAAATATTCAACTTGAGTCATAATTTTAATATTATACAAAAAAAAATCCAAAGTGAAAAGAGTTTGCTAATGATAGCACTTGGCATTGGAAAGGGCATGGAAAACGCAGCACTCAAGTGCTGCTAGTGGAAGTACAGCAATGTACTTCCTGGTTCATGTACTTCTGGATGATGATTCGGCAGTACTTATTTTAAAACATCAAAATATATATATATATATAATTCAACACAGAAATTGTGCTTCTAGAAATGAGATGAATAACTACTTAGGGATGAGTACAAATAGTTGGTTATAGGATGGGCGCAATGGCTCATGCTTTTAATCCCAGCACTTTGGGAGGCCGAGGCAGGCAGATCACCTGAGGTCAGGAGTTTGAGACCAGCCTGACCAACATGGAGAAACCCCATCTCTACTAAATATACAAAATTAGCCAGGCGTGGTGGCACATGTCTGTAATCCCAGCTACTCGGGAGGCTGAGGCAGGAGAACAGCTTGAACCCAGGAGGCGGAGGTTGCAGTGAACCAAGATTGTACCGTCACACTCCAGCCTGAGCAACAAGAGCGAAACTCCTCTCAAAAAAAAAAAAAAAAAAAAAAAAGTTGGTTATAATATTGTTTATCACAGCAATGTTTATAATAGAGAAAAGTAAGAAAGCACCTGAATATTTACAATAGAGAGTCGTTTTAATAATTTATGTGACATCCACACACAGGATGCAGCTATTTTAAATGATACTGTAGATCAGCATTTTCCTAATCCTTTTAGCAGTAAAACCATTTTGTCAAAAACCTCCTACGCATACCTGCAATATATAAAATGAATACAAGCAGAGCTTCTCTGTTTGAAATCAGGTAAAATGGCTGAGAAAATTTAGCCCTGCTTTTATAATCCACTATGGCTTTTGCATCTTTGATAAATCTCATTGCACATAAGTGTTACTAACATGGGAAATTTTTCACAATAGGATCAGAGAAACAAAAGATAGCTACAAAATAAGTGTAGACAAATTTGTTCAAAAAAGTAGGTGGATGAAGGACAATAGAGTCAGAATCCGTTATCAAAAAAACAAGTCCTGTTAGTAGTGGATAAGAATCCCACTCGAATCCAGAGGATAATGCAGCCTAGTTCTTTATTTTTCCCATCAGATTGCCCTACAACACCTCTGGGTAGTGTTCCAGCATTCAGAACACCTTTATTCTTGGCTCCATCTGGGAGTGCAATTTTTACCCCTTAGAGTCCTGCTTACAGATTCTTCAGAATAATAGCATCTTACTACTATTGATATCTTTCAAGGTACAACTTGATGCTTTATTAGGTAAAAGAACTCCTTTCCTCAACCACTCAACACACATCAGAGGTAAGTATAAAAAATAATAGGTGGAATGAAAAGGACAAAGCCTCCTAAGACATAGACTTAGATCTAGGATTCAATTTCAGCCACTTTATTTCATTTTTTTCCCTGATTCTTGATATTCTTAGGTTACTGTTTTTGTAAATGCTAGCATCCAAGTCACCTCCTTCTATACTTTACTCCCACACTAAATCAGGAGTAACAGGTGTGACCAATAGAGTATAGCACAAGATGGGATGTGTAATTTCTGAGGCAAAATCATAGATGTCATTGCAGCTTCCACTTTGCTCTTTTGGATTGCTTGCTCTTGTAAAGGCCGGCTACATTCCCCTAAGAACACTTAAAACATGGAGAAGCCCACATGAACAGGAAGTGAGGGCCCTGAACCACAAAAAGCACAACTTGCCAGCCATGTAAATGTTCCTCCTTGAAAGTGAATTCTCCAGTCCCAGTCAAGCCTTCAGATGGCTGCAGCACCAGTAGATATCCAACTGCAACTTCATGAGAGATCCTAAGCAAAAACTGACAAACAGAATCCCCTCCAGATCCCCGACTCACAGAAATTAATAATGGTTATAGTTGTTTTAAGCCAGTAAGTATTATTGTAATTTGTTGTGGAGCAATGGATAATGAAAACACTCTTACCCAAATTAATTGTGAACGGGAAGTATCTTCCTGAATCTCTTATCTCAGAGGATCCATAGGCCTTTCAATAATATGAACCTGATCAGTGCAGCAGAGCAAGGCTATTCATAATTCCTGCCAGCACTTGTTAAATTCTAACTCCCTTTGCACTACTCTATAGTCTCATTTTAGCTGAAAAGTCTTTCTTTCTCTTTTAGTTCTTGACTATTTCTATCCTTCCAATAATATCTATTGCCAATACTTAAAATACATTCAAAGGAAGGATAGATAGGAAGGAAGGAAGGAAGGAAGGAAGGAAGGAAGGAAGGAAGGAAGGAAGGAAGGAAGGAAGGAAGGAGTAGCCATCTATTAATAGATAAAAAGGAGGTTCATATTTGCTAAGCGCTTCTAAAAGGCAAAAATAAAAAAAAGTGCCACAGAGAGACTAATAAACAAATTTATATTTTTTTATTAGTTTGTGAGACTGGAAACCTGGTACAGGTGTTCCCTGCTCAAGAACCTGATTCCAATTCACTTCAGCTGTCAGCATCTTCTGCTACTTCCCTCCCAGTATCACATCCACATTCATTTAAGATACATTGCAATTTTTGATGACCACACGTTTAATTAGCATTCAGTCCTGTTGATGGAATTGAGACTCGAAATTAGGGTGTCTTCAACAACATAATTTGTTTATCTCACACATAAAAAGTCTGACTTAACAAAGCTGCTCTTCTCTGCAAAAGTATCAGGACCTAGGTTTGTTCCCTTATTTTTTTTTTTTTTTTTTTTTTGCCATCACTGAGGTACTGTCCTTGTCCACATGATCCACAATAAAGCAGAGTGGATGGCAGGGATAGGAGAAATCGTTCTCATTTATTCCGTTCACATTCAGTTGACAGGAACATTGTCACATGAATATGGATACTGCAAGAAGGCTGAGAACTCAAAGCAGGATTTCTCAGTATTTATTCCCCCTTCAGTATATATCACACATAGGTATAAGACTCAGCTATGGCTGTATGCAAATTTTAAAAATACCTCATTACAGGCTTGGACATATTTTTCAATTCTTTTTACTTTACATCCCTTTTGATTAATATTAAAATCTCAATCATCTCCCCTTACTCTCTACCCTAACCACGTAGTGAATATTGCTTTCTCAAGCAATGGCTGGTGCAATTGCATTCCAACAATTGCTGTGACATTTAAACTATTAGAACTATATCTAGGCTGCATTGATGAAATGTTCTAAGGTGATTTATTACACAAGAAGTAGATTTCCTTCCACACAAACCTTCATAAAACAACATAATGATCATTTTATTGCCAAAGAACTTGAGTGATGATTTTCTCCATCTGTAAAACTTATATTAAACAACCTGAGTCATGTTATTTTTAAATTGCAAATGATAATTAAATGATCCAGTTATAAATAGTATAAATCACTCATTATCTTATTTTTCTTCTTGGATCTGTAACTATTCTTGTGATAAATATCCTTAAAAATCAGTCTACAATGTAGAATGCGGTGAAAACACAAATTCAGTGCAACAAATATTAACAACACTCACCATACAACAGGCTGTGTGTTTGGTGGTTAGGATAAGCCCACTGTAAAGCACTTAAACTGAAATTCGAATAAGGAGAAGGATTTAATCAAATGCAGGTAATAAGGGCAATTCATCCATGGCAACATTTCATCAAAGGTCTAGAGGAAAGAAACTGGCCCCTTCAAGTTCATTATGTAAAGATCATAAAGAATCAGAGATGATCAAGTCATGAAGTTGGAGACAGAGTCACCAACTGTATCATGCAAGAGTTTTAGGGATTTTATCCTAAGGTCAATTGGAATCCATTGAAGAGTATCAGGTAGGGGACTAAAATAAGTAAATGTTTTTTGAAGAAATCATTCTATCTTTCGTGAGAAGAGAACATATGGTAGTAAAAACAAAACCTAAGGATGGAGAGCAGGCAAAACTGCATGTGGATAAAGTAATTTTAAAAGCAATTGAAATAATCCAAGCAAGAGGCTGGAGACTGACAATGAATACAGGAATACAGGAAATGTGAATGGATCTGAAACTATTTAACAAGCAGAACTGTCATGACTTACACAGGAAAAATTAAAAGATGGGGAAAAAAGATGTTAATACAGTTACTCTGTGTAATAGTATTCCAGCTAACTTTTATTCTGATTCCTATTTTTTTATACCCTCCAAAATGTCTGCAGTAAACAATATGAATTGGGAAAGCTGATCTAATCTAAAGGTGCCATTTGTTTTATATTATACAATTGTAATAATAAAAATAATACACAGAAAATAATCCTTCAGGTGCCAATGCTTTGACAAGACTACGGGTGGTTTATTTCTTCCTCTTTGGTGGGCTTTGCAAATGTTTTGCAATTTATTTTTAATTTATCTAAACATTTACTCAACAAATATTCATTAAACACCTACACTCTCCCCATCTCTCTGCTAAGGACTGGGGATGTAGCAGCAATAAAAACTGACAACAGCCCCTGCCTTCACAAAGTTTACATTCTAGTGGTAGTGGCAGACATCAGAAAATAAACAAGGTAAATAAGTAAAATACGTAGTATCGTAAATGGTTAGTAAATTCATTTTGATCTATTTTTAATTGCCAAAATAAACTTCTTCCAGTACAATAAGAGCAAAGTGAAGGAGAAATGGAACAAACAGGTAACGTTCAAACAACATGGACTCAAATGCCATCCCTTCATCCCTTCTTTGTCATTACCACCCAATAATAAAGCTTCTATCTCCACTCCTTGAACTCAAAGCACTTTGCCTTTACAGGTGTATAGCACTTATCTGGTTATTAGAGTTGCTGAACATATTTTTGTTTCTCTTTTCCAGCCTGGAATTTTGAATAGACAATGTTTGAAAATAGTGGTAGGGAGAGAGCCATTGTTCTTATATTTTAATATTAAGTAGTTAATACACCACAAACGAACTTCATTTTTCCTCTACAGACTCTTTAATTATGAGAAATATGCATTTATTATGAATTAGGAAATGTCTATTACAAATCCTATTTCTCAAAGAATTCCATATTTGTAAATAGAACTTTCTATTTAAAAAATCTGCTTTTATGAACATCATCTTTTTAAACATCATCTTTTAAGCCTCACAAACCTAATGATAATGTGCATCTGACTGGCTGCAAATTTTAGTTGGGAGATATTTCCAGAATGGACAGATTTTATTCACACACATGATCCACAAATAAGAAGTCACTCCGCCACCCATTGGCAACCAGTCACATCACAACCTCTGCAGCTAACAGAGTTGGGAATTGCTTATTTGAGGCTGTGAACAGTGAACAACAGATGTCAGAGAAGATCATCACAGCCCTGCTAAACTTTTGGAATGATATTGAAATTTTCAGGTGAATTATCTCATAGTTAAGTGAAAGGTTTCATGTGTATTTTGCCTGTCTTTTGTTTTATGCTAAGAAAACAAAGCTTCTATTCTAACTACAAATTAATGTTTTGTTTTTTTAAGGGTAAAATAAATGTGTTCATTTAATATTCAGGATCCATTTGCTAATGCATCTTAAAAATTAATAGCATGCAAAACATTGTGTTTTTAATGAAAGGATTTGAACATCCCTTATAATGTGCAAAGACTAAGTGTATTTTATAAACTTAGTGAAAATAATTCACCAAGTACAGTATGATAAGCTCTTAGCTGCAAAGGGTACTCACAAATCCTGATGCTAGAGGAATTATGATTTGGGGGTAAGCTATTTCAAACCTCAATAACTTTGCTCCCTTTGGGTTATGGTGGGAATATGGTTTATTGATTTTTCTCAAAACATCTAGTGCTTTTCAATGAGGCAAAATTTCAAGTATCTTTATGCAGTAATTTCAAAATTCTCCTCAAACTATAAACAAAGATTTTTTTCCTGTATAGTGACTATGAAGCAACAAATATTATAATGCAGATCAGGCTCCTCATGATAGCAAAAAAGAAATGTGATTATAGATAAAAATCGTCATCCGAAGTAATACCTTTCCCTGAGAGCCAGCAGCATGCTTCTGTAGCCCATGGTATTTAACCCTGCTTTCTACAGAGCATGCACTTTTTAAAAAACATAAGTCCATACAACATAAAGGCAGATTGAAATGAATAGGGTATACACATCTAAGTGCAAAGTTTTACAAAAGAAGAATAATGATTTTACTAATTAAAATTAAAAACAAATCCAAAATAATAGAAAATGTGTCATGTATTTGTCAAAGAACGCAGAAAATTGTTTTTAAACTGAAAAGAAATGAAATATTACAGAGTTTTTAAGAACAGGTTTTTAAATTACATCTTCAATTAATTTTTTAAAAGGATCAACAAAATTGATAGACCGCTAGCAAGACTAATAAAGAAAAAAAGAGAGAAGAATCAAATAGATGCAATAAAAAATGATAAAGGGGATATCACCACCGATCCCACAGAAATACAAACTACCATCAGAGAATACTACAAACACCTCTACGCAAATAAACTAGAAAATCTGGAAGAAATGGATAAATTCCTTGACACATACACTCTCCCAAGACTAAACCAGGAAGAAGTTGAATCTCTGAATAGACCAATAACAGGAGCTGAAATTGTGGCAATAATCAATAGCTTACTAACCAAAAAGAGTCCAGGACCAGATGGACTCACAGCCGAATTCTACCAGAGGTACAAGGAGGACCTCATACCATTCCTTCTGAAACTATTCCAATCAATAGAAAAAGAGGGAATCCTCCCTAACTCATTTTATGAGGCCAGCATCATCCTGATACCAAAGCCAGGCAGAGACACAACCAAAAAAGAGAATTTTAGACCAATATCCTTGATGAACATTGATGCAAAAATCCTCAATAAAATGCTGGCAAACCGAATCCAGCAGCACATCAAAAAGCTTATCCACCGTGATCAAGTGGGCTTCATCGCTGGGATGCAAGTCTGGTTCAACATACGCAAATCAATAAACGTAATCCAGCATATAAACAGAACCAAAGACAAAAACCACATGATTATCTCAATAGATGCAGAAAAGGCCTTTGACAAAATTCAACAACCCTTCATGCTAAAAACTCTCAATAAATTAGGTACTGATGGGACGTATCTCAAAATAATAAGAGCTATCTATGACAAACCCACAGCCAATATCATACTGAATGGGCAAAAACTGGAAGCATTACCTTTGAAAACTGGCACAAGACAGGGATGCCCTCTCTCACCACTCCTATTCAACATAGTGTTGGAAGTTCTGGCCAGGGCAATTAGGCAGGAGAAGGAAATAAAAGGTATTCAATTAGGAAAAGAGGAAGTCAAATTGTCCCTGTTTGCAGATGACATGATTGTATATCTAGAAAACCCCATTGTCTCAGCCCAAAATCTCCTTAAGCTGATAAGCAACTTCAGCAAAGTCTCAGGATACAAAATCAATGTACAAAAATCACAAGCATTCTTATACACCAATAACAGACAAACAGAGAGCCAAATCATGAGTGAACTCCCATTCACAATTGCTTCAAAGAGAATAAAATACTTAGGAATCCAACTTACAAGGGACGTGAAGGATCTCTTCAAGGAGAACTACAAACCACTGCTCAATGAAATAAAAGAGGATACAAACAAATGGAAGAACATTCCATGCTCATGGGTAGGAAGAATCAATATTGTGAAAATGGCCATAGTACCCAAGGTAATTTATAGATTCAATGCCATCCCCATCAAGCTACCAATCAATGACTTTCTTCACAGAATTGGAAAAATCTACTTTAAAGTTCATATGGAACCAAAAAAGAGCCCACATCACCAAGTCAATCCTAAGCCAAAAGAACAAAGCTGGAGGCATCACACTACCTGACTTCAAACTATACTACAAGGCTACAGTAATCAAAACAGCATGGTACTGGTACCAAAACAGAGAGATAGATCAATGGAACAGAACAGAGCCCTCAGAAATAACGCCACATATCTACAACTATCTGATCTTTGACAAACCTGAGAAAAACAAGCAATGGGGAAAGGATTCCCTATTTAATAAATGGTGCTGGGAAAACTGGCTAGCCATATGTAGAAAGCTGAAACTGGATCCCTTCCTTACACCTTATACAAAAATTAATTCAAGATGTATTAAAGACTTAAATGTTAGACCTAAAACCATAAAAACCTTAGAAGAAAACCTAGGCATTACCATTCAGGACATAGGCATGGGCAAGGACTTCAGGTCTAAAACACCAAAAGCAATGGCAACAAAAGCCAAAATTGACAAATGGGATCTCATTAAACTCAAGAGCTTCTGCACAGCAAAAGAAACTACCATCAGAGTGAACAGGCAACCTACAAAATCGGAGAAAATTTTTGCAACCTACTCATCTGACAAAGGGCTAATATCCAGAATCTACAATGAACTCAAACAAATTTACAAGAAAAAAACAAACAACCACATCAAAAAGTGGGTGAAGGATATGAACAGACACTTCTCAAAAGAAGACATTTATGCAACCAACAGACACATGAAAAAATGCTCATCATCACTGGCCATCAGAGAAATGCAAATCAAAACCAAAATGAGATACCATCTCACACCAGTTAGAATGGCGATCATTAAAAAGTCAGGAAACAACAGGTGCTGGAGAGGATGTGAAGAAATAGGAACACTTTTGCACTGTTGGTGGGACTGGAAACTAGTTCAACCATTGTGGAAGTCAGTGTGGCGATTCCTCAGGGATCTAGAACTAGAAATACCATTTGACTCAGACATCCCATTACTGGGTATATACCCAAAGGACTATAAATCATGCTGCTATTAAGACACATGCACACGTATGTTTATTGTGGCACTATTCACAATAGCAAAGACTTGGAACCAACCCAAATGTCCAACAATGATAGACTGGATTAAGAAAATGTGGCATATATACACCATGGAATACTATGCAGCCATAAAAAATGATGAGTTCATGTCCTTTGTAGGGACATGGATGAAATTGGAAATCATCATTCTCAGTAAACTATCACAAGGACAAAAAACCAAACGCCGCATGTTCTCATTCATAGATGGGAATTGAACAATGAGAACACATGGACACAGGAAGGGGAACATCACACTCTGCAGACTGTTGTGGGGTGGGAGGAGGGGGGAGGGATAGCATTAGGAGATATACCTAATGCTAAATGACGAGTTAATGGGTGCAGCACACCAGCATGGCACATGCATACATATGTAACTAACCTGCACATTGTGCACATGTACCCTAAAACTTAAAGTATAATAATAATAATAATAAATAATAATAAAGTAAAAAAATAATAAATAAATAAATAAATAATAGAATAGTGTAGTTAATAACTCATCATATAGAAATATTTCTCAGATATCCTGAAACACATTACCCTATAAACAGGGCATAACTGGAGACAGACTGAGATTATGGGTGATTTTTATTTTTTCTTTTTATACTTTTTGGTAACCTGGATAAAAATTGCTTTTCTAAACAAGAAAATTTTTAAGATATCAACAATATATCATATCACTTACTTTTTTTTTGCTGATCAGACTTTTTCTCTTTTTTTTTCTGAGACAGAGTCTCACTCAGTCATCCAGAATGAAGTACAGTGGCATGATCATGGCTCACTACAGCCTCAACCTTGGGGGCTCAAACCATCCTCCCACCTCAGCCTCCCAAGGAACTAGGATCACAGGAATCCACCACCATGTCTGGCTAATTTTTATTTTATTTGTTGTAGAGACAGGGTCTTCTTATGTTTCTCAGACTAGTTGTGAGCTCCTGGGCTCAAGCAGTCCTCCTGACTCCACCTCTCACAGTGTGAGGATTATAGGCATGAGCCACCATACCCAGACCAGATTTTTCTTTATAAATAATACAAATCACCCTTACCTCCAGCCAAATTAGCATAAATTTCAAATTACTGGTGTCCATTTAAATGTAATTGTGTAATTTTCTTCCTTATATAAATATATTTATTTCTTATAAATATGAAAATAATATTATTAATAAAGTACCTTTTACCATGCATTTATTTCATGCCAGACAAAATGCTAATTATTTTTTAATCATCCTAGAAATCTGCTGAAGTAGTATAATTCTTATTTTACAACAAACAAACTGGAGCCCACTAAAATATTTTCCCTACATTTGCACAGCTCCGAAGTCATGATTTCAGCCCTTATCTAAAGAACTCTAATCCTGTGCTCTTTCAACTACACTTCACAGCAATATAGAGAGCTAGGCATTACAGAGATTTAAAATAAGTAGAAAATATCTGCGATACCCCGAACAATTTCACAATCTAGGTATAGAGAAGATACAATAACTGTAAATGACTGTTTACAAATGATTGATAATTATAATATTCTAATATCATTTGTTATGCACTGTACTAAATACTTTACATAGATTATCTCCTTTATTTCCACAACTGACATCTGACAAGTTTCTGCATAAATCCTATTTCACAGAGAAGTGTTCTTCGGCCTCCTAATCTACACCAGATCCCTGTGTCATGTGCTCATTATAACTGACTCTCTTCCTCCAGTTTTCAGTTTTGTATTTATTGGATGAAAGATTTCACGAGGGCAGTGAAAACTGGTGTTTTTTGTTCTCACTCCCCACAAACTGTTGGACACATTTAAAATATCACTGGGTAGAGAAAAAATTAAAATTAATATTTATATCTCTTGAGTCACTTAAAAATACAGAGGAATGTTTCTATTCATAATCTACAGTAAACATCTAAAAATATCTTTATCTCATCTCTCTCTCACTATCTCACTTGTAGTATAGCTGACACCAAAATCTTCTTCCTCTTTCTCTCTTAACTTTCTAAAATTATCTTTCAAAACTTTATTTTTGCTGTATCTCTTTTTTTACTGTATCTTTTTTTATCTTCTATCCTCTCTCACTCTTCAGATGTCTCAGGTTTCAAATTTGGATCCTTTCAATTTATTGAATCTATTAATTATTCTAATTATTCTCAACAAAGTTTCAGAGACAGAAGTGAAAAATAAAGAAAGAACAGAGGAGATAGATATATCTTGCATGTCAGTCTAAAGAGTGGTCGTTCCTCTGTTGTATGGTGGTAGGATATTAAAGGTTTATGAGAAATGTCATGATAAAAGCAGTATTCAGTGAAGGCTAAGTGGGCGATATTCTGCAGAATAAATTGTAGGAAAGGAAAGAAATTTGAGAGTAAAAGTTCTGTTATAAGGCCACTATATGGACCTAAGATTGAGATAATGAATACTGATTTGGGGTGTAGGCAGTAAGAATTGAAAAAAAAAATGCATGGATAAAAACAGTAATTATAAAAGAACAGAATTTAAAAGGAATTGCTAGCTAATTGACTGTTCTAATTAGCTGATTGGAAGGAAAGAATCAAGGATGATTCCTCTTACAAGCCTGGCTGAATGTGAGAATGATACAAAGATACTAGGAGTCCAATATCATAATCTCTATCTAGCTTTGACTTTGTAAACATATTAATTATTATGCTTACCAAAAATGATTAAGTATAATTCAATATACTTATAATGCCTTATTATATATAAATGTCCTGCTATATTAATGCACTTTCATTAGTGCTGAATTACTAACAAAGTACATAATAACAATTTGGTAGAAAAAAAGTACATTTATCCTGAAGTGAAGGAGGAAAGTAAGAAAAAAAAACTAATAAAATGGTTAGCCTTTCAATTGCAACTGTATTTGGTAAAAAGAGAAAATACATATAACATTATGTATTAATCTTACTAGAGGTTCCAATCCTTTTACTGTCCCCAGCACAATCAGATAGCATTATCAGGTACAATGTCATCACTATCTTTAATCCAAAGAGGAAGTCATATTTGCCAAGGCAGAACTGCATTTTGAAAGAAACCCTTTAAATGCCAGCTAACCTAAGCTTGTAGGCAGGACAAGCTCCACAGAGATTGCTTCAAACTCTTAATTTATATGGTCATATTTGTAAATAAAGAAATATGTGCAGGGTTTAAAAACACACCACTTAATATTGGTGAAAAGGCCACATTGATTATATATTATTCTTAGTCATAAATCTATGTTCACTACGCAAATTTTTAAAAATCTGACATCTTAAGAGAGAGAATATGCTGTAGTGAGTGACTTGACAATCAGCCAACTTGGCTAGGCTGAACTACATTTCCCAAAAGACCCTTCTTTGTGTGTTTTCTGTGAGAGTGGATCAACCACAGGAGAGATTCTCATGGGGCATTTGGAGGGAGGAATTGAAGCGGCACTCATTTTGTTGCTCACACATCTTACCTATCTTCTGGCTTATGGTGTTGGCATAGGACGGCTACCAGGCCTGCAACTGCTCCACCTTCTCCCAGTTCTCTTTCAGCATTACCAACTACTGGGCCAGATCTGTGTGTTTAGCTCCATGACAACAAGCTCCTTGACTTCTGCAGGACATCAGTGCTATCAAAGTCAGAGGCAATAAGAACTGACACTTCAGTCAGTCCTCGTGGACTTTAGTTTGTGTGTTCCAGTTCATTCCCACTCTCTCCCAATTTATATCCACCTTCCCTTCCCAAGTGAACAAGTTCAAGCATCAGATCAGATGTGAAGGCAAACAGCAGTAAAGAGACTGCCTAACCAGGTTCTGCAGTTGCATTTGATATTCTCCATGTGTGTCTATGTGTGTTTAATCTAGTGGTTCCGCTTGTCTGATTAAGCTTGTCTGATTAAACTTTAATGTGTTTTCTCATTTTTTGCAGCTTCTGGAGACCACCTGCATATATATATATATATATATATATATATATATATATATATCAACATCTATATATATCAATATATATACAAACATATATATTGCATTATTTCTGTCAGGGCTCTCTAGAGGAACAGAAATAATGGAATATATATGTGTGCGTGCATGTGTATAAATAATAAACTCATTGTGTGTGTGTGTGTGTGTGTGTGTGTATATATATATACTATATATATATATACACACACACACACATGAGTTTATTAGGTATTAACTCACATGATCACAAGGTCCCACAATAGGCCGTCTGCAGCTAAGGAGCAAGGAGAGCCAGTCTGAGTCTCAAAACTGGAGAACTTGGAGTCTGATGTTCAAGGGCAGGAAGCATCCAACACGGGAGAAAAATGTAGGCTGGGAAGCTAGGTCAGTCTCTCTTTTCACATTTTTCTGCCTGGTTTTATTCTAGCAGTGCTGTCAGCTGATTAGATGGTGCCTAACAAGATTAAGGGTGTGTCTGCATTTCCCAGCCCACTGACTCAAACGTTAATCTCCTTGGGCAACACCCTCACAGACACACCCAGGATCAATACTTTGCATCCTTTAATCCAATCAAGTTGACACTCTGGGTTAATCATTACACCTATCATGTATTGGGGGAAATTCAGCCCCCGATATTTCACATGGGTCCTTTTCTGTTTTCCCTAAGTGTTGGCTGGTCTGAGAAATAAAGGAAAAGAGTACAAAAGAGAGAAATTTTAAAGCTAGGTGTCCGGGGGAGACATCACATGTCGGCAGGTTCCGTGATGCACCCTGAGCTGCAAAACCAGCAAGTTTTTATTAGCAATTTCCAAAAGAGGTGGGAGTGTACGAATAGGGTGTGGGTCACAGAGATCACATGCTTCACAAGGTAATAAAATATCACAAGGCAAATGGAGGCAGGGTGAGATCACAGGACCAGGGCGAAATTAAAATTGCTAATGAAGTTTTGGGCACACATTGTCATTGATAACATCTTATCAGGAGACAGGGTTTGAGAGCAGACAACCAGTCTGACCAAAATTTATTAGGTGGGAATTTCCTCATCCTAATAGGCCTGGGAGCACTACAGGAGACTGGGGCTTATTTCATCCCTTATGTACAACCATAAAAGACAGACATCCTCAGAGGGGCCATTTTAGAGGCCTACCCCTAGGCACGCATTCTCTTTCTCAGGGCTGTTCCTTGCTGAGAAAAAGAGTTCAGTGATATTTCTCCTATTTGCTTTTGAAAGAAGAGAAACATGGCTCTGTTCTGCCCGGCCCACAGGCAGCCAGACTTTAAGGTTATCTCCCTTGTTCCCTGAACATCGCTGTTATCCTGTTCTTTTTTCAAGGTGCCCAGATTTCATATTGTTTAAATAATTTGTACAGTTAACGCAATCATCACAGGGTCCTGAGGCGACATTCATCCTCAGCTTACAAAGATGATAGGATTAAGAGATTAAAGTAAAGACAGGCATATTAAATCACAAGAGTATTAATTGGGGAAGTGATAAGTGTCCATGAAATCTTCACAATTTATGTTCAGAGATTGCAGTAAAGACAGGCATAAGAAATTATAAAAGTATTAATTTGGGGAACTAATAAATGTCCATGAAATCTTCACAATTTATGTTCTTCTGCCATGGCTTCAGCCAATCCCTCAATTCGGGGTCCCTGACTTCCTGCAACAATCATAGATAATAATATGTGTTTTGAAGAAAATAAACAAGATAAGGGGACATAAGTGTTCTTTTATAGAATGTGGTCAGTAATATCCTCTTAAATAAATTTTGTCAAGCAGAAACCTGAATGATAATACTATTCTAATCTAGATAGAAAGACTAGAAAATGTTAAGGCCTTGAGTGGGGGAAGTTGGATAAGTTCAAGAAAAAGAAAAATCACTTTAGATCACACCGAGGAAGATGGATATGTAATAAGAGCAGACCTAAAGACATATTCCTGAGGCCAGATCTTATAAGGCCATGTGTTAAGCAAATTGGGCTTTATTCAGGGTATAATGGGAACCCAAAGAGGTGTAGTGTTGTAGGTGAGTTAGACAGGAAGATAAATTATCTGATGTAGTTTTTTAAAAGTTTGCTCTGGCCAAAAAAAAAAAAAAAAAAAAAAAAAACACAACAACTAAAGAGGATTGAATAATACAGTTATTACCTATTCTCTTACTCTGTTCCTTATAGTCCAATTATTATTTGAAAGTTTTTATACTTGATTATTTATTTTCTAGTGAGGTCCATGGACCACTAGCACCAATATTACCTGGGAACATATTAGATATACAGAATCTCAGACCACATCCAAGAATGAGTAAATTGGAATCTGCATTTAATATTGCGAGATGATTCATATATACAAGTTTGTGAAGCACAGTTTTAAAAAACATCGAAGTAGTCTTAGAAAAGACAGTGACTTGGCCTAGGGTAGAGGCAATGGGAATTGTGAAAAGTACTCATATTCAGGATATATTCTGGAAGTAGAAGCTAATAAAAATTGCAGATGGATTGATTGTAAGTAGGAAGAGGAGGGAAAAAATCTCCAAGGAAAAGGTGTAAATTTGGGAGCTGAGTAATTGGAGTTGGTGGTGCTACTTACTGAGATGGAGAAGATTGAGACAACAACAGGTTTGCTTTGTTTTTGAGTGTCTTATGTTCGAGATGCCTATTAGTCATCAAAGTGGCAATGTAAGTCATTCAATCAGTCATGTTTGTATCAGAGCTACCCCTAAAATGTTAGAACCCCAATAAAATACCTTATTTCAAGTGACTCGTGACAGTTAACAATGAGTAATAAGTCTGTGAATGATTAACAACAACAACAACAACAACAAAAATGGCAAGCAAGCAGAATATTTCCCGAAACTCTTGCCCTTTGAAGAACCAAGGTTATCAGCACCTGAAACTATCCAGCCTAATCCAGGGCAAGTGGCTGGCTTAATTTAGGGGCATTCAGATATTTCTGTATCCTATATAACACTTACCATACAAATAAGGTAACATTGACTTTGCTGTGCAGGTCACTTATAACTCCATTGCTTTATTCTGTATATTTTGGGTCTAAAGGTCATACTGATTACCATAAAGTTCAGAGGTGAGGTTGAAACAGGAGATGTAAATTTGGAAGACATGAAGGTTATAGTTGGTATTTAAAGTCATGGGAGATTGGAAGCCATCATTTGGTGAGAAAACATAGAAATGAGAAAAGAAACAAGAATGATCCCAGGAGCACTCCATCATGTAGAAGGAGTAGAGTGGAATAAGACTCTTCAAAAGAATTTGAGATAAAGTGGCTAATTTGGTAATTTGGTAGCCCAGAGAAGAGAAGAAAAATATTTGGTCATGGTCAACCATGTCAAATGCTGTTAACAGGTTGAGTAAAATGAAGACAAAAATTGTACCTTTGAATTTGGAAAAATGAAGGTTGCTAGTTACCTCCAATAAAGTGAATCTCAGAACAGAAAAATGACTGAATTGTACTCATTGCTAATTAGTCACTAAGCAAAGCCTGTATTACTGTGACATTCTATGGGAGAACCCTTCTCCAATGCAAAAATGTAGAGGGTTCTGCAGTGAGCCATTGAGACTAATGTGACACAAACAGTTGAGGGTTTTATTTTATGTAATTGAACCCTGGAAAGGATCTGTGTGTATCACGAATGAATTACAGGAATAGTACAGATATCTGCACAGCAGTTTCCTAATTGACTGTTTAGTAAACAGAAGGAACTTAGGAAAAGAATTTTGTCTGAACTTTTGTATAAATTAGCCAAGTTATTTACTGAAAAAGTGATTACCTTTTTTTTAATGGAAACTTAAAATGATAATTTTTTTAAAATATAGATTCTTCTTTTTAGGAGAAGACATGCCATTTACAATGCTAAACCATTTTTCTTTTTATACTTTTCTATTATATTTGATTTCAGTGGAATTATAAAGAGGAGACCCTATTTGGAGTGGCTTGAAGAGAAAGTAGGAGGCATAGAAGTGGAGACTTCTTCAAGGAGTTTTGCCAGGAGAGGAAGCAGAGAAATGAGGTGTTACATGGAGGGGAATATAAGATCAAAGAAAAGTTTTGTTAAGATGGAAGATATTGTAGTATTCTTATTGATAAAGACAATGACTCAATAATGAAGGAAAACTTGTTGATAGAGGAGAAAGCAGGAAAATTGCAAGAGCCAAGTACTTAAGTCAGTGAGAAAGAATAGGATATAGTGGATAAGTGAAGGTTTTTTGGCTTTGGATGGTGAAAGGGCAGTTCAAATTACAAGTCATATTTCTTATTAACTAAAGAATTGACACTCTGTTTTTGTACCTTGGTCTCTTGTGAGTTTTCCTAGCAGAAAACAGCAGCCTGAGTTTGAGCACTTCAAGACACTGACAAGACTTGGCTTCTAAGGCTGACAGCATCAAACTGAACTGTAGCAAATCCACTGAGAAAAAGCCATTTTTAGAGGACCTGATTGGGAGGCCAGCCAGCTTTCCCCTAATGACACAACTTCTTCCCTCTCTATGAGCTTTCTTTCAAAGCTTTTCAAAGAACAGCTTACAAATTCATTACCCTTTAGATCTCAACTCATGCATGTTTTTAAATAAATCTATCTTTAGGAAATAATAATTATATACAATGTTTAATTGAGACACTGAATCCACTAACATGAAAGCAGCTATTTTTCTTCACTCATACTTGCTAAGTGGGAATTCTATAAGGATTAGCAAATTAAAGCCAGATAATAAAGAATATAACAAGATGGCTTCTGTGGTTTCATAAAACTGCACAAAAAATATACTTTCTACCAAAAGTATTGCTGGATGTAATATGTAAACTTTTCATTTGGTATTCCATTTTGTTACTGACTTCTGTGCTTAACTGGTAGTTGAGTTATAACTTATAACTCCATTTTTTAAAAAAAGGAGTGGAATAGATCTAGACTAGAATGTGTTAAGGCATTGCAATTCAAGTCTCTGCTTTAGTGGGAAGCTGGATAAAAATTGTGGGTGGTATTGATGCTGTTGGTTATGCAAATCAGAAAAGCATGAGAAGTGAAAGTTATATCATTTCCATGATGGATAGAAATGGGCTTAGGGTTGACAGGCAATCTAAAAATTACTGTTACCTCTTATTATATCCTTCTGAGCATTTCCGTTTGTGCAGAATGGGATTTTAAACATCTTGATCAAGCAACAGGATTCTGCCTCATCTCCTGACACTGATAATCAGCTAGCAGGGCAATATTGTTGCTCTAACTGGCATCCTGATGCTGTTATGAAACTGCATGAGGCATTACTCAAGAAGTGGGTTGTGATTGAAAATAGCCAGCAGAAATTTAAAGGTAAGTATCATTTTGCCACTCATGAAATGATCAAAAGCTTCACATAGAGATGTGCCTATGAGGGCTGATATAAGATAGAAGATTCACTCTGCTATTCCATTCTCAAGATAGAAATTTAAATATCTTCAGCCACTTTAGATTCATAGAGTTGTAGGACCTTAGAAACTATCCAGTTTCAAAATGTTCAAATAAGAAAACAGAAGGCCGAATTTTAATGCAAAACTCCCATTCTCATGAGCCAAGTACTAGCTATGGAAATTAGCTGTCATGAGTAACAGACCATTGCTCTTTCTATTTTACAATTTGAGGGAAAAAAATATGAAAGGTGTTTCTTTGACCTGCAGATACAAACTCCTACAATTTTTAAAATAATTTGAAGATATTTATTTAAAACCTTCAGGTTTTCTGGCAATAAAGTAATACGGATCTGAAGATAGATTTGAGAAGAGTGATGGTGGTAACAATTCTTTTAGCCTTTCTAAGTTTCTATTTTCTCATCTGTAAATACAGATAATAATGTCTACCTTCTAGGACTGGTTTAAAAAAATTAACTGGATTATAATTTTAAAATGTTTAGTTAAGAATTTTACTGTGAGCACGCAATAAATGGTGGTGAATATCATAATACTACTACTAATAATAACAATCATCATCATCATAGGGCGAACACCAAAAAGACTGTTTTATCACATATTCAAAAGTCTGAAAGGAACTTTTAAAAGACATCTACTTATCTATTTTCTTTTGTGTACCAGGGTTAAGATTCTACTTATCCATGTTGAATCTTCTCTCAAATGATTATTAAAAAGAAGATGTTGACTAAAACACCAAAAGCGATGGCAACAAAAGCCAAAATTGACAAATGCGATCTAATTAAACTAAAGAGCTTCTGCACGGCAAAAGAAACTCATCAGAGTGAACCGACAACCTATAGAATGGGAGAAAATTTTTGCAAACTATCAATCTGACAAAGGGCTAATATCCAGAGTCTACAAAGAACTTGAACAAATTTACAAGAAAACAACAACCCCATCAAAAAGTGGGCAAAGGATATGATAAGACACTTCTCAAAAGAAGACATCTATGCGGCCAACAAACATATGAAAAAAGGCTCATCATCACTGGTCATTAGGGAAATGCAAATCAAAACCACAATGAGATACCATCTTAATGCCAGTTAGAATGGCGATCATTAAAATGTTAGGAAACAACAGATGCTGGAGAGGATGTGGAGAAATAGGAGCGCTTTTACACTGTTGGTAGGAGTGTAAATTAGTTCAACCATTGTGGAAGACAGTGTGGCGATTCCTCAAGGATCTAGAATTAGAAAAACCATTTGACCCAGCATCCCATTACTGGGTATGTACCCAAAGGATTATACATCATTCTACTATAAAGACACATGCACACATATGTTTATTGCGACACTCTTCACAATAGCAAAAACTTGGGATCAACCCAAATGCCCATCAGTGATAGACTGGATAAAGAAAATGTGGCACCTATATGCCGTGGAACACTATGCAGCCATAAAAAAGAATGAGTTCATGCCCTTTGTAGGGACACGGATGAAGCTGTAAACCATCATTCTCAGCAAAATATCACAAGGACAAAAAACCAAACACCGCATTTTCTTACTCATAAGTGGGAGTTGAACAATGAGAACACATAGACACAAGGAGGGGAACGTCACACACTGGGGCCTGTCAGGGAGTGGGGGTTGGGGAATGGGAGGAGGGATAGTATTAGAAGAAATACCTAATGTAGATGACGTCTTGGTGGGTGCAGAAAACAACCATGGCACATGTATACCTATGTAACAAACCTGCACTTTCTGCACGTGTATCCCAGAACTTAAAGTATAATTAAAAAAAGCAGATAAGACACTTCTTAGTGGATTATCATAACCATGTCAATAATGTTATTTAATTGTTATGGTTATGTATAGCTGTTTTATAGCGGTTTTCCTTATGAGATATTTCTTCAGTTCTAAACCACAGCAGCTGACAGCTTCTGGGGACGGTATCTTAATTAAGGATCATTGTGCAGAAATGTTTTCTCTGACTAGGAAGTGGGAGAGGGGCTTCAAGGAAGCAAGCAGAAATGTGTTAGGGATGTCCAGAGAGCAAAGGGCCTTTGTGAGCCTAAGGGTCTTCTTTTTGCCTAAGAAATCTCTCTTATTAGACAGGAAACTGTCACAGAAGCATAAAAGCCACTTTTAGCACCATATGAAGTAATCTTATTTTGCAGTTGTTGTTAGACCAGTGAACAATATTTCTCCCATTGCAGCTGCCAATTATGTAAGAAGAAGCAAAACTCAAGAAAGTTAGGAACAAGTCCTAACCATGAAATGATAAAGTTGCATCCAGAAGTGGGTACAACTTGTGGCTGGCTTTGTGGTTCTTAAGTAATACTGGGCTTGGAAACAGACAGAAGAGGGTAAACTCCAATTTTATTTAATTGAAAGTAGATGTCTCAATATGAGCAAGATAGTTCTTTTTAAATTTACTGTTGCCAGGAACTCAGGGGACAAAAGTCACTATATCTCATCAGTATTGGGTATGGACAGCCTAATAAATGAAAGGTAACACCTTTTAAAGAAATGGGAAGAATCAAACTCAGAAGGACAAGAGCTCCCAAAAGACCTTAAGCACAGGTTGGAAAGATAAATGTAACAAAAAGATAAGACTCAAAAAGAAATAGTTCTGGTACTTTCCTGTAATACAGGATTATCTGAGAATCCCCATGGGATTTATATCATGTTTACACTTGACATCTTATTCCAAATAGGTATATATAACACAAGCTTATTAATAAGAATTTTAATCACTGATGATATAACAAATAATTATGAAATGCTCAGTGCAGAGCCAGCCGTGTGACAGGCACCAGGGTTACATCGGGGAAAGCTGTACACAATCCTTGACCTTAGCGAGCTTAAAATCCTATGAGGGAAATGGACATTAAACAAGGCATTCAACTGTGCCATAAATTGCATAGTGAAATAATTGAAGAGGAGATCTGATTTAGGCTGGAGAAGTAGTAGAATTTAAACTTTAACCTGAAAGACTAATACAAATTAGCTAATGATGAATAGAAAAATAAACATTCTGAGGCAAAGGTCTTGAGGTGGAAGAGAAGTTGGAGTAGCTGAAGAACTGAGAGAAGGGCAATGAAGCTAGTGTTGACTACGACAAGGGAAGAGAAGAAAGAGACATAGCTGGGGATGCAGGCAGCAACAAGATCATATAGGCTGTGTAAATAATTTTTAATTTATTTCAAGTGTAATGAAAGTGTCATTGAACTGTTTTAGGCAACGGGGGTGAAATCATTAGATCTATATTTCAGAAGGAATAACTTGGGACAGTTCTATGTAGAGTGTAACAGTGTATATGAGAGTATACATACTTATATATAGCGTACAAACTAGTTAGTAGGAAACTGCCACGGTCTAGTGAGGCATGGTGGTGACTTAGACTAGACCAAAGATGTGGAAGGAAGTGGATGCGTTCAACACCTACTCTGAAGGAAGCATCCTTAGACCCAGTAATAGACTAGATGTATTAAGTTGGTGTGAAAGTAATTGCAGTTTTGGACCATGGACTTTAAATCACTATAACTAGGCTCAGACACATCTTTATTAATCAAAATAGAAACCAGTGCAATCAACAAGGTTTTGCCAATGAGAAGTAAGTATGTTTATTTCTGTAGCATAAACATCCATGCTTTGGGATTTGACGAACTCTTGGAAACCATTTTCTGTATCCTGCTGGTTGTGGAAGCATTTTCTCTGCAAAAAGTTGTCGAGACGCTTGAAGAAGTAGTAGTCCATTGAAGAGAGGTCAGGCGAATATGGGGGATGAAGCAAAACTTCGTAGCCCAATTCGTTCAACTTTTGAAGCATTGGTTGTGCCAGGTGCGGTCAGGCATTGTCCTGGAGACGAATTAAGCCCTTTCTGTTGACCAATGCCAGCTGCAGGCATTGCAGTTTTCAGTGCATCTCATCCATTTGCTGAGCATACTTCTCAGATGTAATGGTTTTGTCTGGATTCAGAAAGCCGTAGTGGATCAGACCGGCAGCAGACCTCCAAACAGTGACCATGACTTTTTTTTTTGGTGCAAGTTTGGCTTTGGGAAGTGCTTTGGAGCTTCTTCTCAGTCCAACCGCTGAGCTGGTCATTGCTGATTGTCATATAAAATCCACTTTTCATTGCATGTCACAATTCGATTGAGAAATGGCTCATTGTTGTTGCATAGAATAAGAGAATACAACACTTCAAAAGGACTTTTTTTTTTTTTTTTTGGCTGAGCTCACGAGGCACCCACTTATCAAACTTTTTTACCTCTCCAATTTGCTTCAAATGCCAAATAACTGTAGAATGGTCAACGTTGAGTTATTTGGCAACTTCCCAAGTAGTTGTAAGAAGATCAGGGAGGGATAGCATTAGGAGATATACCTAATGTTAAATGACGGGTTAATAGGTACAGCACACCAACATGGCACATGTATACATATGTAACTAACCTGCACGTTGTGCACATGTACCCTAAAACTTAAGATCGGGGAGGGACAGCATTAGGAGATATACCTAATGTTAAATGACGGGTTAATAGGTACAGCACACCAACATGGCACATGTATACATATGTAACAAACCTGCACGTTGTGCACATGTACCCTAAAACTTAAAGTATAATTTAAAAAAAAAAAAGGAAGATCAGCTTTGATGATTGCTCTCAATTGGTCACTGTCAACTTCTGATGGCCGGCGACTATGCTCCTCATCTTCAAGGCTCTCGTCTCCTTTGCAAAACTTCTCGAACCACCACTGCAGTTCCTGGGCCAAATGCACTGTTGATGTTGCAAGCTATCTCCACAGCCTTACTACCCATTTTTAACTCGAATAAGAAAACTGCTGGAATTTGCCTTTTGTCTAACCTAATTTCCATAGTCTAAAATAAGCACAAAATAAACAGCAAGTAATGTCATTAGCAAAAAAAATATATATATAATAATGCAAGAAATGCCCATTAAAATGATATATAAGATAACCACATTTATTTAAGAATGTATTCCATGATCAAACAGCAAATTCCAACAATGCAAAAAACGCAATTTTTGCACTCACCTTGTAGAATGTGTCTGAGAATAAGGTGTCAGAATCTTTCTTTGGTTTCTGGTTGAAATTACAAAGTATAGGAGGGTGCCATTTACTGACATGTAAAACACAACAAAGTCACAGAGCTGGAGAAGAGTGAGAGGGAAGGAAGAAGAGTAAAGGTTCAGTTGCAGGCAGGCTTCATTGTAAACTAAAAGAGGAAATAGGGAAAACAAACTGGGGCGATAGCAGAATCTTTGGGGGACAGAATAATTTTTTTGAAGTATATTTTATGTTTTACATTATCACACAAATACATGCACATATACCTATATATACACACATCTTTATATGTATTTGTATACCTTCATATACCTTTATGTATATATTTTATAGATAACCTATTATATCTGTGTGCATAAATATATAGGCATTATTTAAGATTTTAAGCTTTCCACAGAATGTTATATTCTGTAGAGAGAACACAGGCTCATTCAATATTTTGACATATGAATATCTGTACATAAGACACCTCTCACTTAAGCTCATAAATGATTATCCTTCAAATTAGTAGTATACACCAGAACAGATATTCATGAATTTGCTATGGGTACTCTAAACTGAAGCTGTCAGTGTTTATTTATCAACCTTAACATTTAAAGTTAAAATTTTATTTTCTATTTCATTTTAGGGTCATTGGATAAGTGAAAGTGGCCAGATACAAAGGAGCATATACTGTATGATTCAATTTATATAAAATTCTAGAAAATGCAAACTAATCTATGAGGATGCAAAGCAAATCAGTGGTTGCCTGGGACTGGGCAAGGAGGGTGGGAGGGCTGCAAAGGGCCAGATGAAATTTTTGGAGGTAATGGAAATGATCAGTATCTCTATTGTGGTGGTAGTTTCCCCATATACAACCAACAAAGGTTACCAAATTCTACAATTTAAATGGATATCACTTATTAAACATGAATTATACCTCAATGTAGTTTATTTGAATAATAAATATGCACAAGAAGTGAAACACAAATGAAACCAATCGAGCTAGAAGGAAGATTTCTAGCTAAAGATCAAGTTCAATTCTATTCAACTTTCTGAAATACAGAAATATGATTTTTATCAGCACAAATTAAAACAAAACTAGCATCTTAAAAAGGGTCATTGAACCAAGATGTCATCTAGGACAAAATTAAAATCTGTGTGTGTGATAAACCAGACACCAAGGGGAATAAAACAAAGAGATGCAGGCAAGTTAGAGGTGCCCGTCTCTTTACATAGAAAATGAAATGGGCTATTGCATTCAGGGTTGTCAGGAATATTATGGTTACTGATGGTTCAACCTGAAAATTTTATGGAATCAGATGTTAAAACTTCTCAAAACTCTTAATGGAACCAGCATAAAGGGTGCTGGCTGACTATTTTCCTTGTACTTCATAAAATCCTCCATCCCACATTAGAATTTGAGAGTCCACATTATAATTAATTATGCCTACAGAATGTTGGCACATGCAGGAGGGTCATAGAGAAGCCTTTATGTCTCATATAAAACACCATCACAGGATTACAACACACTATCATCCTCATTACAATTTACTACAAGCCTGACAAAATAATCAAATTCACTGGATTAAAACTAAATTATCTTCTTCATTTAACTACACAGCCTGCTTCACAAACTCAAAGTTCTCTTAGGGCTATATTTTTTTATTCTCTTCCAATCAATTACTAAACGCTTCATATACCAATCGCTGTAAGTCTAGTATTTTTCACTTGAATTTAATATAATTTCTCTGGACATTAATGTACACTCTGTTCATACCCTGGATAGGTAAAAAGTGCTGAGGAGCTATCCTGCCCTGGGAACTACCCTCAACAAATGCTGGATAAGGGTTGTTGGGTACATAACACAGCTTCCTTGCCCTGCCAAAAGAGGTACTTGAAGGAATGTTCTACACTGTTTCTCAGAGTTCTCCAAAGGACTAGGCATTGATAATTTGCTTAATAACTCACTTTTATTGGCTTCCTTCTTTTACTCCCTTCCAAACCTTCCTACCAATGTTTCCTGAGATTATCTCCCATTGAACTCTTTGCACTCAAATTCCTTCTCTCAGAGTCTACTTCTGGGAGAAAGAAAACTAAAGATCCTCACTTAATAGTTCAACCTAACCAAGAGGGCCAAGGCTGGAGAGCAGTCAGGAAAGATGTCAGAGGCATAATCTCAGAATACACAGGTGACTTGTGGAAATAACAGCACAGAAACCAAAGCAGGGAAGTTTTAGAGAAGGAAAGCCAGGCAGCTCGTCAATAGGCTCTGGCCATAATTAATTGGAGAAGTTAAGAGAATGGCAAAGCACAGAGGAGACACTGGAGGAAAGAATTCATATATAAATAATGTGAGCTGTTAGCACTGTCTCCAGCTACCAGGCAAAAGGAATCCCTAGGGAACAGTACACAGGTTCCTTAATCCTGAATTTGTGTTTTTCAGAGCAATAGTAATGAGACACTTTCACAGCAGGAGGAAACACTGTGGTCATGTATATCTGCATTGCTTCTATACGTTACCAAAGTATATTCTCTTATATTATCTCAAGAGACCCTTGAAAATAAATCTTGTCCCTCCAGTAGATTATAACTTAAATATATTTTTTATACTAAGTATAGTCTAGGGCATTCAATGAAATTAAACCACACATATAAATATATGATATGTTTATGTGGATACCTGTGTATATGAGTTAGGCCTCAAGTAAGAATTGTACTGCTTTCTCACGTATAGATGATTATATAAGTTATTTAATCCTCATAGCCATTTTGTAAGGTAGATAAGGAAAAATGTCTTTTTTCACTTTTGGAGTTATATATATAGTGTCTGTGGGTTTGTGTGTGGGTGTGTAGAGTTACCATGTACAAACTGGGTCATTCAGAATCACTGGAATCATAGCAGAAGACTAGTAGTAAATTCCATCCTGAGTTATAAATGCTAATATTCCTTCAGTTGGTACTGGCTTGCAGCAATCCCAAATTTTATATTCTGAAACATACTTCCAAGTCAGAATAAAGGTAACATAAAGGTAACCCCATTTTTAGAACTTCAATATAGAGCAGTTTTTTCCTCTTTTACTCCCTCTGCTTTCTCCTGAAAATATTTTTCCCCTCTCAGGCAAACAAACACAAATTATTCTTTTAAAAAATAATATTCTGTGGAGTTTTTCAATTCCAAAATATTTCAAATATTAAAAATGCTTGATGTGAATTTGTCACCAGCTAGAAATTATTGCATTGGTAAGTATAACATTTGGGTGTGATGATTTTATAGGTGCAAAAAGTCTGAAATATTTGAAAACTGAGGAAAGGGCCAGATCAGCTGCTTAAATGATATTTGAACAACTGTTTTATCTCCTAATATGTAATTTATCTCCTAACATGTAATAATAAGCAACGACTATTATCACAATTTTTCATCACTGCTTCAGCTTCTAAGCCTGATTATATTCAATTTACTTCAATATTTGTTGATCATTCACTGTAGGAAAAGCACTAAGCCATTTTCTTTACTTTTGAGAAAGAGTTATGGAAAGTGATTATAGAGTATTTGGTTTATAGAAAAATATGGACCCAGGCAGAATTTGAGCAATTTGGCTAAGTTATTTAATCTTTCTGTGGTTAGTAAAGTAATAATACTTAATAATACCTGCAAGTTTTTAGTGAGAATTTAAAATAATGATCCCTAAATGCTTAGCATTGGGCCAGACACAGTATGTGTTTAGAAGTATTTAGTAAAAAAACATTTCTTAATATAAAACAGTTAACATTCCTAGAAATATCACAAAGTCAAAAAGTAGAATTCCATAGAATTCAACAAAAAACAATTTTTCTTTCTCAGTCCACCTTTAAACTCAAATACTTAAGCTATTTTGTTGTCTTTTTCATAATATGGCCATGCCTCAAAATTTTCCAGTCAATATTTAACGATTTTTAAGTTCTTTGTTTATATTTAGTCACAAAATAATCTTATATCCATACTAAAATTATATTAAATCCTATATAATAGTGAACATTCTAATCTTTATTTACAGTTAAACTCTTCTCCTCCTGTGGTTTGGGTTAGTTTCAGCTTGGAAGTCTACAGAAGCAAATTTCTCTACCTTGAGCGTAGTCTTTCCCCTACTCAAATATCACCAGTCATGATTTCTGAACAGAGGTAATCAACCTAGAATGAAATCATTAGGGTGGATTTAATTCAATATGACTGGTCCTTACAAAAAAGGGAAATTTGGACCTAGAAACAGACACTCACACAGACAGAACGCCATGTGAAGAAAAGCAGACATGGAGTGATGCTTCTACAAGTCAAGGAATGCCAAAGATCACATTAAACCAGCAGAAACTGAGAGAGGCATGCATCAGATTCTTTCTCACTGCCTCAGAAGGAAGCAAACTTGCTGACACCTTTATCTTGGACATTTAGGCTCCAGAACTGTGAGACAATATATTTCTGTTGTTTATGTCACTCTTTAGTGGTACTTTGCTATGGCATACGTGTACATAACTTTTGTGCCACAAATAGATCAGTTTGCATATATATGTAGAAATATATTTCAATGTATGTGCATTAGAAATATATATGCGTTAGAAATATATTTCTACATATATGTAAATTATATATATTCTGTATATAAAATTAAACAAATTACTTTCAGTTCTTTTATGATTTAATTGGTATGGAGTGAGAGCTGAGCACTGGGATTTTTAAAGCTTCCCAGGTGATTCTAATATGTAGTAAATACTAGAAGCCTTTTATTTTAAAAATAGACTAGAAATATTTTTTCTATTTATTTATTTATTTTTATTTTACTTTAAGTTCTGGGATACATGTGCTGAATGAGCAGGTGTGTTACATAGGTATACATGTGCCATGGTGGTTTGCTGCACCTATCAATCTATCATCTAAGTTTTAAGCCCCACATCCATTAGCTATTTGTTCTAATGCTCTCTCCCCCCTTCTCCCTCATCCCCTGACAGGCCCCAGTGTGTGATGTTCCCCTCCCTGTGTCCATGTGTTCTCATTGCTCAACTCTCACTTATGAGTGAGAACATGCAGTGTTTGGTTTTCTGTTCCTGTGTTAGTTTGCTGAGCATAATGGTTTCCAGCTTCATCCATGTCCCTGCAAAGGACATGAATGCATTCTTTTTTATGGCTGCATAGTACTCCACGGTGCATATGTGCCACATTTTCTTTATCCAGTCTATCATTGATGGGCATTTGGGTTGGTCCCGAGTCTTTGCTATTGTGAAGAGTGCCACAATAAACATACGTGTGCATGTGCTTTTATAGTGGAATGATTTATACTCCTTTGGGTACATACCCAGTAATGGGATTGCTGGGTCAAATGGTATTTCTGCTTCTAGATCCTTGTTTTCTTATTTTACCACAATTTTCAGTTATTCAAAGTATTGGCTCATTCAATGTTTTTAAATACCGGTAGTTGTAAGATAAAATAATCTAGAATTCTAGAGAAAATTTGTCATTTTCTATTTACCTATCACTTTTTTGTGTCAAGTAAAGTTTTAAACTTACTCCCAAGATAAATATAATAATTTTAAATAGGGGTGGCAGATATTAAAGTTTGATGACACAGGAGGTTCTCTTCCATCTTGGCAATTCAGTAACCCTAATTACTTAAAAGCCTGTGTTTAAAAAACAATTTTTAAAATTCTTGCTTTAGGAAATAACTTAAATTTTCTCTAAAAAGTCAGAGTTATCTGATCTAAATTAAAGAAGCAGAATAGGAATTTAAAGAAATAATAGAATTACTAATTTCAAATAGCATCTCAGTTGAAAAAATTTCTTTAACTTTTCCTCAAACAGTTCCTGCTAATGCAGAAACATCTTCTAAATCTAAATGTGAAAAAGAGCCCAATGAGGTGTGGTTAGGTTCTGGAAAGTCGAGATGTGTCTCTCTTCTTACTGAACCCTAACTTCAGATTAGGCATTCTAGAAGACTGCTTACTGAGAGGTAATTGTACCTACCTTCTCTGAAATAATATTATCCTTTTATTTTTTCTAACTCAGCATGTTGTTTTCACAAGAAAAACAAATAACTAATTTCTTACTCATTTAGACATTCACTCTAATTGTTTTGAACTTTTTTGGCCAAACAGAAGATCACTTTTTTAGTTTTAAAATTAAAAAGTAGCAGATTATTTTTCCCCCAAGAGAAAATTAATTCAGACCACAAAAGAGTTGCACTTCAGTTCAAGGGACTATGTGAACTATTTAGTGTTAGAAGAAAAATCCTTCTTATTCACATACCTTTCGTCTTGGTTCTTCTAAATAATGACTGCTTTTGTTTAGTGCTTAAAAGAAATGGGATACATTTTTCAGGCACATTTGCCACAGAGAAGGGTCATATTACATCTTAGAGGAATTTCTATATGTTTGACTTAATAACTTTCCCAGATGTAATTTAAATTCTCATCCAATCAAAACAAATTACAATTAAAGCTTGTTTCAATAAATCAGTAGTGAAATTTAACATAAGTCCTTCATGCTCTCCTAACAGGCTATCCCAGCACCGAAGCAATTGTAGTTTGTTTTTGTTTTTACTTACTTTTGTTTTTGTTTTTTTCTCTAATATTTGTAGCCTCCAGAAACAAGAAATTAAGATTAAAGAAAGTCATAAAGAAAGTAACAAACTCAAGCTAGAAAATTTGTATGAATATTATCTAAAAGACTTTGGTGCAGTCTCAACACAGCACCTAATTTCCAACTAATGTCTCAAATACACAAGGCTCACAAGAGGTTTCTGTGAGGCCTCTGAGCCCAAGTTAAGCCATCATGTCCCCCGTGACCTGCACGTACACATCCAGATGGCCGGTTCCTGCCTTAACTGATGACATTCCACCACAAAAGAAGTGAAAATGGCCTGTTTCTGCCTTAACTGATGACATTGTCTTGTGAAATTCCTTCTCCTGGTTCATCCTGGCTCAAAAGCTCCCCTACTGAGCACCTTGTGACCCCCACTCTGCCCGCCAGAGAACAACCCCCTTTGACTGTAATTTTCCTTTATCTACCCAAATCCTATAAAACGGCCCCACCCTTATCTCCCTTCACTGACTCTCTTTTTGGACTCAGCCTGCTGCACCCAGGTGATTAAAAGCTTTATTGCTCACACAAAGCCTGTTTGGTTTTCTCTTCACACGGATGCGCATGAAATTTGGTGCCATGACTCAGATTGGGGGGCCTCCCTTGGGAGATCAATCCCCTGACCTCCTGCTCTTTGCTCCATGAGAAACGTCCACCTATGATCTCAAGTCCTCAGACCGACCAGTCCAAGAAACATCTCACCAATTTCAAATCCAGTAAGCAGCCTCTTTTTACTCTCTTCTCCAACCTCCTTCACTATCCCTCAACTTCTTTCTCCTTTCAGTCTTGGTGCCACACTTCAATCTCTCCCTTCTTTTAATTTCAATTCCTTTCATTTTCTGGTAGAGACAAAGGAGACACGTTTTATCTGTGCACCCAAAACTCCAGCACCGGTCACGGACTAGGGAAGGCAGGCTTCCCTTGGTGTTTAATCATTGCAGGGATGCCTCTCTGATTATTCACCCAGGTTTCAGAGGTGTCAGACCATGCAGGGATGCCTGCCTTGGTCTTTCACCCTTAGCAGCAAGTCCCACTTTTCTGGGGGAGGGGCAAGTACCCCAACCCCTTCTCTCCATGTCTCTACCCCTTCTCCGCCTCCCTGGGGGGAAGAAACCCCCAACCCCTTCTCCTTCAATCTTAGTGGCAAGTCCGGCTTTTCTAGGGGAGGGGCAAGTACCCCAACCCCTTCTCTCCATGTCTCTACCCCTTCTCCACCTTTCTGGGGGGCAAGAAACCCCCAACCCCTTCTCCTTCACCCTTAGCAGCAAGTCCCGCTTTTCTGGGGGAGGGGCAAGTACCCCAACCTCGTATCTCTGTGTCCCAATCCCTTATTTCTGCGCCCTGACCTCTTATATCTCTGCGCCCCAATCCCTTATTTCCGCATCCCGACCTCTTATTTCTGTGCCCCAATCCCTTATTTCCACACCCCGACCTCTTATCTCTGTGCCCCAATCCCTTATTTCCACGCCCCGACCTCTTATCTCTACACCCCAACACCTTGTTTTCATGCCCCAACCCCCTTCCTGCTTTTCTGGAGGGTAAGAACCCCCAAACCGCTTCCCTCCATGTCTCTACTCTCCCTTTTCTTTAAACTTGCCTCCTTCACTATAGGCAACATTTCACCCTCCATTCCTCCTTCTTCTCCCTTAGCCTGTGTTCTTAAGAACATAAAACCTCTTCAACTCACACCTGACCTAAAACCTAAATGCCTTATTTTTTTCTACAATGCCACTTGACCCCAATACAAACTTGACAGTAGTTCCAAATAGCCAGAAAACGGCACTTTCGATTTTTCCATCCTACAAGATCTAGATAATTCTTATCATAAAATGGGCAAACGGTCTGAGGTGCCTGACGTCCAGGCATTCTTTTACACATTGTTCCCTCCCTAGTCTCTGTTCCCAATGCGACTCATCTCAAATCCTCCCTTTCCCTCCCACCTGTCTCCTCAGTCCCAACCCCAAGCGTCACTGAGTCTTTCTAATTTTCCTTTTCTACAGACCCATCTGACCTCTCCCCTCCTCAACAGGCTGAGCCAGGTCCCAATTCTTCCTCAGCCTCTGCTCCCCCACCCTATAATCCTTTTATCACCTCCCCTCCTCACACCTGGTCTGGCTTACAGTTTCGTTCCGTGACTAGCCCACCCCCACCTGCCCAGCAATTTCCTCTTAAAAAGGTGGCTGGAGTAAAGGCATAGTCAAGGTTAATGCTCCTTTTTCTTTATCCGACCTCTCCAAAATCAATTAGCATTTAGACTCTTTTTCATCAAATATAAAAAACCCAGCCCAGTTCATGGCTCATTCAGCAGCAACCCTGAGACGCTTTACAGCCCTAGACCCTAAAAGGTCAAAAGGCCGTCTTATTCTCAATATACATTTTATTACACAATCTGCTCCTGACATTAAATAAAACTCCAAAAATTAAATTCCGGCCCTCAAACCCCACAACAGGATTTAATTAACCTTGCCTTCAAGGTGTACAATAATAGAAAAAAGTTGCAATTCCTTGCCTCCACTGTGAGACAAACCCCAGCCACATCTCCAGCATACAAGAACTTCCAAACGCCTGAACTGCAGTGGCCAGGCATTCCTCCAGAACCTCCTCCCCTAGAAGCTTGCTACAAGTGCCAGAAATCTGACCACCAGACCAAGGAATGCCTGCAGCCCAGGATTCCTGCTAAGCCATGTCCCATCTGTGCAAGACCCCACTGGAAATTGGACGGTTCAACTCACTTGGCAACCACTCCCAGATCCCCTGGAACTCTGGCCCAAGGCTCTCTGACTGACTCCTTCCCAGATCTTCTCGGCTTAGCAGCTGAAGACTGACACTGCCCGATCACCTTGGAAGCCTACAGGACCATCACAGACACTCTAAGTCCATCCCCTTCTTAGTCAATATGGAGGCTACCCACTCCAAATTACCTTCTTTTCAAGGGCCTGTTTCCCTTGCCTCCATAACTGTTGTGGGTATTGACGGCCAGGCTTCTAAACCTCTTAAAACTCCCCAACTCTAGTGCCAACTTAGAGAATACTCTTTTAAGCACTTCTTTTTAGTTATCCCCACCTGCCCAGTTCCCTTATTAGGCTGAGACGCTTTAACCAAATTATCTGCTTCCCTGACTATTCCTAGGCTACAGCCACACCTCATTGCCACCTTTTCCCCCAGTTCAAAGCCTCCTTCACGTCCTCCCCTTGTATCTCCCCACCTTAACCCACAAGTATAAGACACCTCTACTCCCTCCTTAGCGACCGATCATGCACCCCTTACCATCCCATTAAAACCTAATCACGCTTACCCTGCTCAATGTCAGTATCCCATCCCATAGCATGCTTTACAAAGATTAAAGCCTGTTATCACTTGCCTGTTACAGCATGGCCTTTTAAAGCCTATAAACTCTCCTTACCATTCCCCCATTTTACCTGTCCTAAAACCAGAAAAGGCTTACAGGTTAGTTCAGGATCTGCGCCTTATCAACAAAATTGTTTTGCCTATCCACCCCATGGTGCCAAACCCATATACTCTCCTGTCCTCAGTACCTCCCTCTACAACCCATTATTCTGTTCTAGATCTCAAACATGCTTTCTTTACTATTCCTTTGCACCCTTCATTCCAGCATCTCTTCACTTTCACTTAGACTGACCCTGACACCCATTCGGCTCAGCAAATTACCTGGGCTGTACTGCCACAAGGCTTCGCAGATAGCCCCCATTACTTCAGTCAAGCCCAAATTTCATCCTCATCTGTTACCTATCTCAGGATAATTCTCATAAAAACACACATGCTCTCCCTGCTGATCGTGTCCAATTAATCTCCCAAACCTCAATCCCTTACAAAACAACAACTCCTTTTCCTCCTAGGCATGGTTAGTGTGGTCAGAATTCTTACACAAGAGCCAGGACCACACCCTGTAGCCTTTCTGTCCAAATAACTTGACCTTACTGTTTTAGCCTAGCCCTCATGTCTGCGTGCAGCAGTTGCCACTGCTTTAATACTTTTAGAGGCCCTAAAAATCACAAACTATGCTCAACTCATTCTCTACATTTCTCATAACTTCCAAAATCTATTTTCTTCCTCATATCTGATGCATATACTTTCTGCTCCCTGGCTCCTTCAGCTGTACTCACTCTTTGTTAAGTCCCACAATTACCATTGTTCCTGGCCAGGACTTCAATCCGGCCTCCCACATTATTCTGGATACCACACCTGATTCTCATGACTGTATCTGTCTGATCCACCTGACATTCACCCCATTTCCCCATATTTCCTTCTTTCCTGTCCCTCACCCTGATCATGCTTGATTTATTGATGGCAGTTCCACCAGGTCTAATCGCCACACACCAGCAAAGCAGGCTATGCTATAGTACAAGCCACTAGCCCGCCTCTTAGAACCTCTCATTTTCTTTCCATTGTGGAAATCTATCCTCAAGTAAATAACTTCTCAGTGTTCCATCTGCTATTCTACTACTCCTTAAGGATTATTCAGGCCCCCTCCCTTCCCTACACATCAAGCTCAAGGATTTGCCCCCACCCAGGACTGGCAAATTAGCTTTACTCAACATGCCCTGAGTCAGATAACTAAAATACCTCTTAGTCTAGGTAGACACTTTCACTGGATAGGTACAGGCCTTTCCTACAGGGTCTGAGAAGGCCACCGCAGTCATTTCTTCCCTTCTGTCAGACATAATTCCTCAGTTTAGCATTCCCACCTCTATACAGTCTGATAACAGACCAGCCTTTATTAGTCAAATCAGCCAAGCAGTTTTTCAGGCTCTTAGTATTCAGTGAAACCTTTATATCCCTTACGGTCCTCCATCTTTAGGAAAAGTAAAACGGACTAAAGGTCTTTTAAAAACACACCTCACCGAGCTCAGCCACCAACTTAAAAAGGACTGGACAATACTTTTACCACTTTCCCTTCTCAGAAGTCAGACCTGTCCTCAGAATGCTACAGGGTACAGCCCATTTGAGCTCCTGTATAGATGCTCCTTTTTATTTGGCCCCAGTCTCATTCCAGACACCAGACCAACTTAGACTGCGCCCCAAAAAACTTGTCATCCCTACTATCTTCTGTCTAGTCACACTCCTATTCACCGTTCTCAACTACTCATACATGCCCTGCTCTTGTTTACACTGCCAGTTTACACTGTTTCTCCAAGCCATCATAGCTGATATCTCCTGGTGCTATCCCCAAACTGCCACTCTTAACTCTTGAAGTAAATAAATAATCTTTACTGACAGGACTATGCTGAATCTCCTTATGCACTCTAATTAGATGTCCTAGGTCCTCCCAATTCTTAGACCTTTAATACCTGTTTTTCTCTTTCTCTTATTCCGTTTAGTTTTTCAATTCATACAAAACCGTATCCAGGCCATCACCAATAATTCTAAATGACAAATGTTTCTTCTAACAGTCCCACAATATCACCCCTTACCACAAAATCTTCCTTCAGCTTAATCTCTCCCACTCTAGGTTCCCACGCCGCCCCTAATCCCGCTCGAAGCAGCCCTGAGAAACATCGCCTATTATCTCTCCATACCACCCCCAAGAATTTTCAATGTCCCAACACTTTACCACTATTTCATTTTATTTTTCTTATTAATATAAGAAGACAGGAATGTCAGGCCTCTGAGCTCAAGCTAAGCCATCATATTCCCTGTGACCTGCATGTACACATCCAGATGGCCAGTTCCTGCCTTAACTGATGACATTCCACCACAAAATAAGTGAAAATGGCCTGTTCCTGCCTTAACTGATGACATTGTCTTGTGAAATTCCTTCTCCTGGTTCATCCTGGCTCAAAAGCTCCCCTACTGAGCACCTTGTGACCTCCACTCTGCCTGCCAGAGAACAACCCCCTTTGACTGTAATTTTCCTTTATCTACCCAAATCCTATAAAACGGCCCCACCCTTATCTCCCTTCGCTGACTCTCTTTTCGGACTCAGCCCACCCGCACCCAGGTGATTTAAAGCTTTATTGCTCACACAAAGCCTGTTTGGTGGTCTCTTCACACAGATGCGCATGAAAGTTTCACTCGTCTGGAAGCTTCTGGCAATGTTGAAATGTTGTAAAGCCAAGTAATTTTCATGCTAGAAGAGTACTTGAAAAACCCATCTTTTCGGTTATGGTATATGAATGAAGATTCATCTTACTTCAAGGATTTCAAGAAGACTCCAAACCAGGGAATGTCTGGTGATTTCTTATTTTTATTTATTTATTTATTTTGAGACAGAGTCTTGCTCTGTCGCCAGGCTGGAGTGCAGCGGTGCGATCTCGGCTCACTGCAACCTCCAACTCCTGACTCAAGCAATTCTCCTGCTTCAGGCTCCAAAGTAGCTGGGATTACAGGCACGCACCACCACGCCCAGCTAATTTTTTTTGTGTTTTTAGTAGAGAAGAGGTTTCACCATGTTGGCCAGGATGGTCTCGATCTCCTGACCTCACGATCCACCCACCTCAGCCTCCCAAAGTGCTGGGATTACAGGCATGAGCCACCGCGCCCGGCCTCATTTTGTTATTCATAACTAGCCCTACATAAAGCAACAGAGTAGAATGATGATTCTCAGGGTTGGCTGCCTATTAGAATCACCTGGGAGCCTTAAAAGTCCCAATGCTTAGCTCTCACCCCATACCAATTGAATCATATCTGGGAGTGGGTGCCAAGCATCAAGAATTTTTAGTGATCTCCAGGTGATTCTAATGTGCAGCACACTTTGGAAACCAATGAAGTAGAATTTTAAAGAAAATTAATGGCAAAAGCACAATCAATGCCTAAAAAAGAAAGAGGACAAGGTTAGCCTAGCTAGAACCCATAGGTCCAAATATTTGGATGTGTTTTCTTTTGAAACGGAGTGTGAACATGCATTAAAAATCTGATGCACACGTCTGCCCCTACACCCCAGGGAGACCTAAGTGCCGATTTACAATTCTATAGGAGTCGACCATAAAATACACACTGCTTGGGTACATATTTGAAAGTGAGGCAAAATGCCTACAAAGGATATAGAGGGGATTGATTGGTAAATATAAAAAATGGCTTTGCAGACTTTTAAGTATTTAGTTCAAAATGTAGCAGCATTCGTGAAGAATAACTGATATTGTTTGCATCTACATTGTTCTCCCCATGAAAAAGGCATCTTTTGAGACCTTGGACAAGAGCACAGCTGCAAAGGTATTCAATAGATTGATTTCCAAATATAACCAGAAGTGATGCTAGTTTTCAGAAAATATTAGGGAGGAAATAGGAAGAGGAGTTGCACCCTGAGAAACATGCTTGCCTTTTTGGGGAATTCTTACCTCTCTACAACAAAAGGCAGAAAATGTTGTATAGAGCAAGACCAAGTAAACCAAAGAAACAAGTAAACTAATTCACTAACCCGTTTGAAGATGCAGCGGAAAAATTAATTTGACAAATAATAAAGTCATGGAGAACAGAGCTAAAACAATGATTGCATGCAAAAATCTCACACTGACAGGATATTAGCCTAGCATTGCAAATTGGTTTTATAAAGTCTTCAGAAGTAATAATTGAATTCGGACCTGCACTGAGATGAACAAGCTCTGACTATGCCCCACTGTTAGCATGCCCCAAGACATTTGCTTTCCCACCGTGTCTTTAGTCAGATAGACAACACCAATGTGTGCCACACTGTGGGCCACATACCCCATGTCATGTCCTGAGGCCCCTTTACTTTGCTTGTTTATTGAACCATATGAACAACACTTACTCTCCATATATATATATATATATATATATATATATATAGAGAGAGAGAGAGAGAGAGAGAGAGAGAGAGAGAGAGAGAGAGAGATTGCTCTCTCTTCTGTAGCAAAGTTAGTTTGTACATCCGATTATTTGTTTTATCATTCATTACATGATGGAGAGTGGCTTAATGTCCTAGGCAACCATGGCTGGCTTCTGTGCAATCACTTGTTGAAGACAATTATAGTTCTAGTTAATTTTCTTCCACTTTATGGTTTACAAGCCATAATAAACTGGCAAAATAAATGCTATTTACTTTTTGTTTTATAGTCATCAATTAGTGTTAAATAGACCTGATTTTTCATGCCCTTCTAAGTTTTGATCTGTATTTCTTCAGATGGTAAAACCTACTTGTTTCTTACATTTAATGAGTTTAATTATACTCACATATTTTATAGTCACATTTGCCATTTATTTTATTCATCCCACGATTCATCTAACAAACATATGTTGAGCACTTTTATTTGCCTGGGGAGATGGCTGTCTAGAGATACAAGTTTGAAAGTCACCAGCATGCAAATGGTAATGTTTTCCATAGGACTGGAAGGGGTCGCCTAGAAAAATGGTGTTGAAAAAGAAGAATAGATATTGAAAGTTTGATTGCCAAATCATCGTAATGAATAGGGATCAGAACAATGAGCAGAATTCCCACCAGGAGATTGAGAGAGAAAAATAACCAAGAGATAATGGTATTCTGGAGGCTAAATGAAATAAAATTTTCCCGGGAGATTGAATAAGCAACTGTGTAAAATGCTACTAATAAGTTGTGTAAAAGGAGGACTGATAATTGCCCATCAGTCTGGCAATATGATGGCCACTGGCAATCTTTTCAAGCACAGTGTGCATAGGGAAGGGAAAGCTTGATTTTCCTGTGTTCCAGGTATGAGAACAGCGAAATAGTCTCTCTCCCACTCCCAGCTTCTCACTTCCAATCTATGATATCCCATGGTATGAAAGAGACAATGCCCTGCTCTAAGAAATAACCTGTGTTTATTGATACAGAATGAGTCGTCCCCTATTCTGTGCCCAAAGGTTTTCATCATGGCTTCTCTGTATGGTTTCATCTTCTCCAAATGAGCAAAGACCGTATCTTACATGGCGCTTTCCCTCTGTTCCAAACTCCTGGTAACATTTTTGACATACATATGAAGTTTCCACCTCATTTAAAAGGAAACTGCATACTTAAAGTATAATTCAACATAAGTACCTCTGTGTCCTACAGTCCCTGTGTCAGCTTCAAAAGCTGTAGGACTCCAATGTGCAAAGACTACAGCACCAAAGAAGGCAGATGCTCTCCCTTTGTCATTATCCAGACCATAAAGTTGGACACCAAAAAATTACTTTATTATAGAAGACCATTTGCCCGATGCAACAAGAGAAAAATGATCTAAATATGGTTATGTGAGGAATGTAGTATTTCTCTATCCATATGATTGGAAATTATCCCTCTGAATCAGTCACATTTTCTGAGTGGTCTAGAACATTATACAATGTGACACATATTAAATCAGACTGAGCAGCCAAGAACACCAGCCTTGCTTTTACCACTAAATTACTGAGTGACATTGGGGATGTCATTGAATTGTCCTCTTACTTTATTTCCTTATCTATAAATGGATCTGTAAAAATTCTTGCCCTTCTTTCTTCATAGAATAATTGTGAGGATGCAAAGATAAAATTAATGCAAAATATTCTGCAAAAGCTTATACAAACCTAAAATGTTATAACAAGATTATGATTAGATCTAAAGGCATTAAATCTGGAGATAAAAGAACATAAAAAACTACAATCTGTAAATTTCTCCCCGTATACCTGCAAATCTTTCAAGCTACAGCAATGAAAAATGAACAAAATTTGCTAACAGCAAATTTGTATGCCTGTGGGTTAAGTATGTTTGTTCTATTATAAGGTTTTAACAAGCTTCAAATGGTAAGAATATAAGAGTTTAATTCTGTAAATATGAGAAAAATTCAAGAAAAACTCAAGATAAAAATGAAGATTTAAGAAAATAAACAAGACATCTATTAGGGGTGGAAAGTTTTGGTTAAAGAAAAACTTATATTTGGGTTATGAAAAAAGCTTTGCATTATTGCTTCAACTAATTTAACACTGAATATTGGATTTTTAATTTATGGATGAGTTCTGTGTTTATATGCTTTTCCATTTTATTATAAAAAAGCTTGAGGTGCTTGCATGATAAGGTACCCCATAAATTATGCTGTGTAACTTCATACAGCATAGTCATTAATCACTAGCCTTAAACTTTTCTTTTCTTTGGCACTAAACAAAGAAATTTTGGAAGCATAAAGGAAACAGGTCGGCATAAGCTGCCATGACTATTTATTTCATTTTAAAGAGTTACCTCAGAACGGGAAAAATGTGTCAGATTTATCATTTCCCACATCACTAACCGTCCTAGGTTTGGGCAAAAGTTTTCTGGAACATTCACTAAAAACAAATCTTAGTGTTACAGGAGATTTTCAGCATTCAATCTAGGATATTTATTTAAAATGTTTTCAAAATAATGCTTCTCACTCACTCCTCTGCTCTCATGATGCTTTGGGATACAGAAAATTGAAATTCGCACAAAAATGACAGACACACAATGTTAATTTCTCATGGATCAGTTTTTTAATTGAATATCCAAGGATATCCAAGTCTCTTAAGATCATAGCACATAATTTATGCCTTGCACATACATGAAATAGCACAGTCATTTTTCTGGTGGATTAACTTTCTGATACCCAGAGTGTTTCTAGCAAATTACATTGCATGTTACTTTTTTGGTAACCCCTTAGAGAAGGTGTTGCATGTTATAAACCCTTATTTAAGAATATATGTAGCAGAAAATAATGAGTATTGGCAAGAATGTAGAGAAATTAAAGTCCCTGTGCACTACTGATGGGAATGTAAGATGATGTTATCCACTGAGGAAAATAGTATAGTGTTTCCTCAAAAAATTAAAAATAGAACTACCATGTGATCCAGCAATCCCCTTTCATGATATATACCCCAAAGAGCTGAAATTGGTCTCTAAGAGATATTTGCCAGACCACATCCATAGCAGCATTAGTCACAATAGCCAAAAGGGGGACGCAACTCAAGTATTCATTGATGGATGAGCAAATAAACAAAAAGAGGTATACGTGTACAACACAATATGATTCAGGTTTTGAACAGTAGAGAAATTCTGTCACATTCTATAACATGGATGAAACTTGAGCCTTGCTATGGATTGAATATGTCCTCCAAAATGCATGTGTTGGATAATTTCCAATGCAACAGTGTTGGGAGGTGGGGCTGAATGAGAGGTGATTAGGCTGCAGGGTTCTGCCCTCCTCAGAGGAATGGGTTCATTATCATGGAAGTGGATTTCTTATAAAAGGATGAGTTTGGCCCCCTTTTCTTTCCCATATATCTACTCTCTTGCCCTTCCACCTTTCACCATGGGATGATGCAACAAGAAGGTGTGCCAGATTTCAGCCCCTTTATCTTGGACTTGCCAGCCTCAAAAACTGTCAGAAATAAGAAAAACATATATTTTTAAAAATAAATTATCCAGTCTGTGGTATCTGTTATAGCAGCACAAATGGACTAAGACAAGTACATTATGCTAAGTGAAACAGTTGCAAAAAGATAATTATTGTATGATTCCATTTGTAATTCCATTTGTATAAGGTATCTAAAGTGGTCAAATTCATAGAAATAAAAAGTAGAATGATAGTTACCAGGGGTAGGGAGGGGGGAAAATGAAGAGTTGTTTAATGGGTATTGAGTTTTAGTTTTGCCAGATGAAAAAGTTCTGATGCTCTATTACACAACAATGTGAATACTTACCAGTACCGAACTATATACATAAAATTGATTAAGATAGTGTCATGGACTGAATGTTTATGTTCCCTCCAAATTTTTCTCAGTTAGTGTTGCTCAACTGCTGAGAGCTGACAGTGATCATATAACTCTAGATATCATTTCCTCATGATGTTTTTGCTCCATGTGCCCATGATAGAAAATTAAGATAATTTGTTTATAATGGCTATGGTTCGAGAATACTATTGTCAATAATTTGATTGCAGTATAAATATTAACTTGCACAATTCTTCAACACAACAGCACATCAATCAGGATCAAAGTTGTGATTTGTCTTCTCAGTCTTTACTCTTTCTCAAACATCCTAAGTATGTCATGTATCTATACTTGAATCTCTTGTTGATCATGCTCATTCTTGCCACACCTGGCAATATTGCTATATTCTAGGTCCTGATCACATCATCCTGTGGGAGTAGGCCTCTATGTTATCCCACATCTGACCTGAATGTTCTTGGAACTTTTCTTTCAACACACAGCAAGTTCTAGTAACCATAGTTTCTACTGCAGCAAAATAGTTAAAGGAACCGATTTTGAAGACAAGTGAACCTTGTCTAGAACGTCAGTTTTGTCACTTCCTAGCTTCATAATTTACCTACCTTTGTCTTCTTACATGTTTAAATGAGCCCCAGTATTTCTCTTGTATAAAATGGAGAGAATAATGCCCTTCATATTTTTAACATATTAAATGATATGTTAAAAATACTAAAGATAAATTCAATAAACAATAGACATCTCTGTTCCTTTTATTAAAAACTCAAAAATAACTATTATTTTTCCATCGAGGCAATGATCCTAAAGTGGCTTTTAAATTATTAAAGAATAATAAAATTACTTTCAAATCAGCATTAAATGTACTTTAAGTACTTTCTCTCTTGCTGTTTTTTCCCTTAGAATTTAACAATGCTGATAAATCATGTTAGGTAACTTTCAGTAAGCTAAAATATTTTAAAAATTGAAGTAATACATGTTTATCCAACCACATAAGCAAATCTTTTATTAAATATTTTCTACTAATTCACAAATATTGGTTGTTATAATTTTTTATAAATCATAAAAGCTCAGTTGTCCTAATCATATTTTTCAAATGTAATGTTTCCTTATTTACATTCCCAAATATTAACATTTAAAAACCAATCTTGTGAAATTATGGGAGGCAGAGAAAGGTAAGAAGAATTGCACACAGAGATAGTAAAACGATAGAATTTCAGAACTAAGAGGTGCCATAAAGATCATCTTTTTCCACAATAAATCTAATATACCTTTTTTTCTCACCAAAGGAAGCATTTATTGATATTTTTTACTAAAAGAAATTATGGCAAAAATCAAGTGGTTTGTTTTTAATTCCATGTAACTAACAATTTGCTGATAGGCATTAGTAAGACTGACATGGGCTAAATTGTGTTCTCTCAAAATTCATATGTTGAAGTTGTGACTCCCAGAACTTCAACTCTCACATACCTGAGAATGTGACTGCACTTTGAGACAAGGTTGTTTAAGAGGTAATTAGGACCCTGACACAGTGTGGTGTGAACCTGTAGCCCCAGATACTCAGGAGGCTGAAGTGTGAGAATTGTTTGAGCCCAGGAATTCGTATCCAGCTTGAGCAACAGAGCAAGCCCTAGTCTCTAAAAAAGGAAGAGCGAGAGAGAGAGAGAGAGAAAAAGAGACCTAATTAAGTTAAAATGTAGCCATTAGGGTGTGTCCTAATTCAAAATGACTGGTGTCCTTATAAGAAGAGGTAGGTGAGAAGCCAAGACAGGTGGATTGCTTGAGCCCAGGAGTTCAAGACCAACCTTGGCAACATGGCAAAACCCTGTCTCTACAAAAAAATACACAAATTAGCCAAATATGGTGGCACACACCTGCAGTCCCAGCTACTTGGGAGGCTGAGGTGGGAGGATGGCTTGAACCCAGGAGATAGAGGTTGCAGTGAGCAGAGATCACACACTACTGCACTCCAGCCTGGGTGGCAGAGCAAGACCGTATCTCAAAAAAAGAAAAAGAAGAGACTAGGACACCAATATGCACAAACGATGAACCTATGAAGACACAGGAAGAAGAAGAGAGCCACCTACAAGCCAAAGAGACAGGTTGAAGAAGAAACCTATCCTGCCAACACTTTGATCTCGAATTTCTGGCTCCCAAAATTATAAGAAACTAACTTTCTGTTGTGTAAGCCACTCAGTTTATGGTCCTTTATTATGGCAGTGTAGCAAACTAATACAAAGATACAATGCTCCAACACTCTTAAACAAAATTCAATTAAATTAATCCTGTGGACTTTAATGTAACATTAGCTTATATCAAAGGTCAAGATAGACATGCCAAAGGAATACAACTCACAGTTTCATGGAGTGCAGCTAACTCTAGCCATGTGTGAAATGAAAAGACTTACATGATTAACCCATGTGGAGGAGGTCAAGTAAAGACAAACTATTAAAGCTTAAAACTGCTGTGATAGAGATCTTTATGAAGTACTATCCTATGACAAAAAAGGTGTACACACAAACACATTTTTCTGGAGGGTAATAAATCATAGCTGAAAAAAATCTCATGTAAAAATAAGCAATGTTTTGGGTGTTGTTAACATATACAACAAAACTTTAACCAAAATTAGCTGTGATTAAAAAGTTGCTTCTGGAAAGAGGACAAAATTATTCATTTCAATTAGTTTAGAATTAGATATACTCTAAATAATCGATGCATTAATTTCAACCTCAAACATTTAACTGAATGGTAGTACACACTTACATTTAAATTTTACCTAATTTTATTTTTATTGAATTTTGCTAATTTTCTTCAACCCTTTCTAAAAGACATTACAATTAATGTTACAAAGAGCATCTATGATGAAGTTTACATTAGCTGTTGATACCTAAGCAGCTAGTGAGAGTTCACTAGCAACATATATAATTGTGGATACATTCCATAGTAATGGTTCCGTATGTTTCCGCACTACTCTTCTTTATAGAGGTGCAAAAGCTAAATGAAAAGTGTTGATTTGAAAGACCTTAATTTTACCCTTACATAAAGTATGAAGAAAAGCATTCTCCAACTTTTCTATTACAACAATCCTGGACAATTTTACAAGGCCTTTTTTTCTTTGTTTTTCTTTCTTTTTTTTAATTATACTTTAAGTTCTAGGATACATGTTTAGAACGTGCAGGTTTGTTAGATAGTTATACATGTGCCATGGTGGTTTGCTGCATCCATCAACCCGTCATCTACATTAGATATTTCTCCTAATGCTATACCTCCCCTTGCCCTCCACCCCCTGACAGGCCCTGGTGTGTGATGTTCCCTTCTCTGTGCCCATATGTTCTCATTGTTCAACTCCCGTGAGAACATGCAGTGTTTAGTTTTCTGTTCCTGTGTTAGTTTGCTGAGAATGATGGTTTACAGCTTCATCCATGTCCCTGCAAAAGACATGAACTCATTCTTTTTTATGCTGTGTAGTATTCCATGGTGTATATGCGCCAAATTTTCTTTATCCAGTCTATCATTGATGGGCATTTGAGTTGGTTCCAAGTCTTTGCTATTGTGAATAGTGCCACAATAAACATACTTGTGCATGTGTTTTTATACTAGAATGATTTATAATCCTTTGGGTACATACCCAGTAATGGGATTGCTGGGTTAAATGATATTTCTAGTTCCAGATCCTTGAGGAATCACCACACTGTCTTCCACAATGGTTGAACTATTTACACTTCCACCAACAGTGTAAAAAGCGTTCCTATTTCTCCAAATCCTCTCCAGCATCTGTTGTTTCCTGACTTTTTAATGATCGCCATTCTAACTGGTGTGAGACGGCATCCCATTGTGGTTTTGATTTGCATTTTTCTAATGACCAGTGATGATGAGATTTTTTTCATGTTTTTTGGCCACATAAATGTCTTCTTTTGAAAAGTGTCTGTTCACATCCTTCACCCACTTTTTGATGTGTTTTTTTTTCTTGTAAATTTGTTTAAGTTCCTTGTAGATTCCAGATATTAGCCCTTTTTCAAATGCATAGATTGCAAAACATTTCTCCCATTCTGTTGGTTGCTGGTTCACTCTGATGATAGTTTCTTTTGCTGCACAGAAGCTCTTTAGTTTAATTAGATCCCATTTGTCAATTTTGGCTTTTGTTGCCCTTGCATTTGGTGTTTTAGTCATGAAGTCTTTGCACATGCCTAAGTCCTGAATGGTATTGCCTAGGTTTTCTTCTAGGATTTTTTATGGTTTTAGGTCTTAGGTTTAAATGTTTAATCCATCTTGAGTTAATTATTGTAAAAGGTGTAAGGAAGGGGTCCAGTTTCAGTTTTCTGCATATGCCTAGCCAGTTTTCCCAACACCATTTATTAAATAGGGAATTATTTCCCCATTGCTTGTTTTTGTCAGGTTTGTCAAAGATCAGGTGGTTGTCGATGTGTGGTGTTATTTCTGAGGCCTCTGTTCTGTTCCATTGGTCTATATATCTGTTTTGGTACATGTATCATGCTGTTTTGCTTACCGTAGCCTTGTAGTATAGTTTGAAATCAGATAGTGTAATGCCTCCAGCTTTGTTCTTTTTGCTTAGGATTGTCTTGGCTATATGGTCTCTCTTTTGGTTCCATATGAAATTTAAAGTAGTTTTTTCCAATTCTGTGTAGAAAGTCAATGGTAACTTGATGGGAATAGCATTGAATCTATAAATTACTCTGGGCAGTATGGCCATTTTCATGATATTGATTCTTTCTATCCATGAGCATGAAATGTTTTTCCATATGTTTGTGTCCTCTCTTATCCCCTTGAGCAGTGGTTTATAGTTCTCCTTGAAAAGTCCTTCACATCCCTTGTTAACTGTATTCCTAGGTATTTTGTTCTCTTTGCAGCAATTGTGAATGGGATTTCATTCATGATTTGGCTCTCTGTTTGTCTCTTATTGGTGTATAGGAAAGCTTGTGATTTTTGCACATTGATTTTATATCCTGAGACTTTGCTGAAGTTGCTTATCAGCTCAAGAAATTTTTGGGCAAGATGATGGGGTTTTCTAAATATACAATCATGTCATCTGCAAACAGAGACAATTTGACTTTCTCTCTTCCTATTTGAATACCGTTTCTTTCTTTCGCTTGCCTGATTGCCCTGGCCAGAACTTCCAATACTATGTTGAATAGGAGTGGTAAGAAAGGGCATCCTTGTCTTGTGCCAGTTTTCAAAGGGAATGCTTCCAGCTTTTGGCCTTTCAGTATGATATTGGCTGTCGGTTTGTCATAAATAGCTCTTATTATTTTGAGACGTGTTCCATCAACACCTAGTTTATTGAGTGTTTTTAGTGTGAAGGGGTATTGAATTTTATCAAAGGCCTTTTCTGCATCTGTTGAGATAATCATGTGGTTTTTGTCATTGGTTCTGTTTATGTGATGGATTACATTTATTGATTTGCCTATATTGAACCAGCCTTGTGTCCCAGGGATGAAGCCAACTTGATCGTGGTGGATAAGCTTTTTAATGTGCTTCTGGATTGGGTTTGCCAGTATTTTATTGAGGATTTTAACATTGATGTTCATCGGGGATATTGGCCTGAAATTGTCTTTATTTGTTGTGTCTCTGCCAGGTTTTGGTATCAGGATAATGCTGGCCTCATAAAACGAGTTAGGGAGGAGTCCCTCTTTTTCTTTTGTTTGGAATAGTTTCAGAAGGAATGGTAACAGATCCTCTTTGTATCTCTGGTAGAATTCAGCTGTGAATCTGCCTGGTCCTGTGCTTTTTTTGATTGGTAGGCTATTAATTACTGCCTGCATGTCAGAACTTGTTATTGGTCTACTCAGGAATTCCACTTCTTTCTGGTTTAGTCTTAGGAGGGTATATGTGTCCAGGAATTTATCCATTTCTTCTAGATTTTCTAGTTTATTTGCATAGAGGTGTTTATTGAATTCTCTGATTGTAGTTTGTATTTCTGTGCAATCAGTGGTGATCTCCCCTTTATGATTTTTTATTAGGTCTATTTGATTCTCCTCTCTTTTCTTCTTTATTAGTCTGGCTATCTATTTTGTTGATCTTTTAAAAAAAACCCAGCTCCTGGTTTCATTGATTTTTTGAAGGGTTTTCGTGTCTTTATCTCCTTCACTTCTGATCTGATCTTAGTTATTTCTTGTCTTCTGCTAGCTTTTGAATTTGTTTTCTTTTGCTTCTCTAATTCTTTTAATTGTGATGTTATGATGTCCATTTTAGATCTTTCCCGCTTTCTCCTGTGGGCATTTAGTGCTATAAATTTCCCTTTAAACACTGCTTTAGCTGTGTCTCAGAGATTTTGGTACATTGTGTCTTTGTTCTCATTGGTTTCAAATAACTTATTTATTTTTGCCACAATTTCATCATTTACCCAGTAGTCACTGGGGAACAGGTTGTTCAGTTTCCATGTAGTTGTGCAGTTTTGAGTGAGTTTCTTAATCCTAAGTTCTAATTTGATTGCACTGTGGTCTGAGAGACTGTTTGTTATGATTTCCATTTTTTGCATTTGCTGAGGAGTGTTTTACTTCCAATTATGTGGTCAATTTTAAAATAAGTGCTATGTGGTGCTGAGAAGAATGTATATTCTGTTGATTTGAGGAGAAGAGTTCTGTAGATGTCTATTAGGTCCACTTGGTCCAGAGCTAAGTTCATGTACTGAATATCCTTGTTAATTTTCTGTCTCATTGATCTGTCTAATAGTGACAGTGAGGTGTTAAAGTCTCTCATTATTATTGTGTGAGAGTCTAAGTCTTTTCGTAGGTCTCTAAGAACTTGCTTTACAAATCTAGGTGCTCCTGTATTGGGTACATATATACTTAGGATAGTTAGCTCTTCTTGTTGCATTGATCCCTTTACCATTTTGTAATGTCCTTGTCTTTTTTGATCTTTGATGGTTTAAAGTCTGTTTTATCAGAGACTAGGATTGCAACCCCTGCCTTTTTTTGCTTTCCATTTTCTTGGTAAATCTTCCTCCATCCCTTTATTTTGAGCCTATGTATGTCTTTGCATGTGAGATGGGTCTCCTCAATACAGCACCCCGATGTGTCTTGACTCTTCATTTAATTTGCCAGTATGTGCCTTTTATTTTGGGCATTTAGCCCATTTACATTTAAGGTTAATATTGTTATGTGTGAATTTGATCCTGTCATTATGTTGTTAGCTGGTTCTTTTGCCCATCAGTTGATGCAGTTTCTTGATAGTGTTGATGGTCTCTACATTTTGGTTTGTTGTTGCAGTAGCAGGTACCAGTTTTTCCTTTCCATATTTAGTGCTTCCTTCAGGAGCTCCTGTAAGGTAGGCCTGGTGGTGACAAAATCCCTCAGCATTTGCTTGTCTGTAAAGAATTTTGTTTCTCCTTCACTTATGAAGATTAATTTAGCTGGATATGAAATTCTGGATTGAAAATTCTTTTCTTTAAGAATGTCGAATATTGGCCCCCACTCTCTTCTGGCTTGTAGGATTTCTGCAGAGAGATCCGCTGTTAGTCTGATGGGCTTCCCTTTGTGGATAACCCAACCTTTCTCTCCGGCTGCCCTTAACATTTTTTCCTTTATTGCAACCTTGGTGAATCTGATGACTAGGTGTCTTGGAGTTGCTCTTCTAGAGGAGTATCTTTGCACTGTTCTCTGTATTTCCTGAATTTGAATTTTGGCCTATCATGCTAGGTTGGGGAAGTTCTCCTGGATAATGTGTGTTTTCCAGCTTGGTTCCATTCTCCCTGTCACTTTTAGGTACACCAATTAAACATAAGTTTAGCCTTTTCACATAGTTGCATATTTCTTGGAGGCTTTGTTCATTCTTTTTCACTGTTTTTTCTCTAATATTGTCTTGATTTATTTCATTAAGTTGATCTTCAATAACTGATATCCTTCCTTCCACTTCATAGATTCAGCTATTGATACTTGTGTATGCTTCATGAAGTTCTCGTGCTGTGTTTTTCAGCTCCATCAGGTCATTTATGTTCTTCTCTAAACTGGTTATTCCAGTTAGCAATTCCTCTAACCTTTTATCAAGGTTCTTACCTTCCTTGCATTGGGTTAGAACATGCTCCTATAGCTCAGAGGAATTTGTTATTACCCACCTTCTGAAGCCGACTTCTGTCAATTCGTCAAACTCATTCTCTGTCCAGTTTTGTTCCCTTACTGGTGAGGAGTTGTGATCCTTTGGAGGAGAAGAGGCATTCCGGGTTTTGGAATTTTCAGCCTTTTTGTGCTCTTCTTTGTGGATTTATCTACCTTTGGTCTTTGCTGTTGGTGACAGTCAGATGGAGTTTTTGCATGGTCATCCTTTTTATTGATGTTGATGCTATTGCTTTCTGTTTGTTAGTTTTCCTTCTAACAGTCAGGACCCTCTTCTGCAGGTCTGCTGGGGTTTGCTGGGGGTCCACTCCAGACCCTGTTTACCTGGATATCACCAGTGGAAGCTGAGAACAGCAAAGACTGTTGCCTGCTCCTTCCTCTGGAAGCTTCTCCCCAGAGGGGCATCTGCCAGATGCTAGCTGGAGCTCTCCTGTATGAGGTGTCTGTTGAACCCTGCTGGGAGATGTCTCCCCATCAGGAGGCATGGGGGTCAGAGACCCACTTGAAAAGGTAGTCTGTCCCTCAGCAGAGCTCAAGCGCTGTGCTGGGAGATCTGCTGCTCTCTTCAGAGCCAGCAGGCAGAAACATTTAAGTCGCTGAAGCTGCATCCACAGCCACCCCTTCCTCCAGGTGCTCTGTCCCAGGGAGATGGGAGTTTTATCTATAAGCCCCTGACTGGGGCTGCTGCCTTTCTTTCAGAGATCCCCTGCCCATAGAGGAGGAATCTAGCGAGGCAATCTGGCTTCGTGGTGCTGCAGAGGGCTCCGCCCAGTCTGAACTTCCTGGTGGCTTTGTTTACACAGTGAGGGGAAAATCCCCTACTCAAGCCTCAGTAATGGTGGATGCCCCTTCCCCCACCAAGCTCAAGAGTCAAAGGTCGACTTCAGACTGCTGTACTAGCAGCGAGAATTTCAAGCCCACTTAGCTTTCTGGGCTCCATGGGGATGGGATCTGCTGAGCAAGACCCCTTGGTTCCCTGGCTTCAGCCCCCTTCCCAGGGGAGTGAATGGTTCTGTCTTGCTGGTCTTTCATGCACCACTGGGGTACAAAAAAATAAATCCTGCAGCTAGCTCAGTGTCTGCCCAAATGGCCACCCGTTTTGTGCTTAAAACCCAGGAACCTTGTAGTGTAGGCACCCAAAGGAATCTCCTGGTCTGCAGGTTGCAAAGACCATGGGAAAAGCATAGTATCTGGGCCAGATAGCACCATCCCTCATAGCACAGTCCCTCATGGCTTCCCTTGGCTAGAGGAGGGAGTTCCCCAACCCCTTGCACTTCCTGGCTGAGGCAACACCCCACCCTGCTTCTGTCCACCCTCTGTGGGCTGCACCCATTGTCTAACCAGCCCCAGTGAGATGAACTGGGTACTTCAGTTGGAAATGCAGAAATCACCTGCCTTCTTTGTTGGTCTCACTGGGAGCTACAGACTAGAGCTATTCCTATTCAGTCATCTCGCCCAGGAATCTACACAGCCTTTTTTAAGCCTATGTATCACACACAGACTCACTTTCACACATTGGAAGTGTTGGAATTAGCATGCTCATTATGTTCTTGCATAAATAATTTGGTTTTTATCAACAAGGATATAAAGTTCATTCTTAGTCTAAATAAATACATGGAGAATGCCTTACAAGAGATCCAGATTTCCCAATGTTTAGAAGAGAGTTAAGTCTCAACCATCATGCCCACTTCTGACACCAGTCACTGCTGCAGTGATGACAGTAAATTCCAGACTTTCTCTGCTACTTCTTTTTTAAACTTATGTTATCAATCTTTTAATTTTCCACAGTAATCACACTTTTGTTTTCAGTCTTCCTTGCCACATACATATATTACCACTGTTAGAGCTCTAGTTCTAATATTAAAGAAGCAGCATAGTGTATAGGCCTAGAGCATGTTTCAGACTAAGATCTGGAGTCAAATCTAGCAACACAACTCTGATTCCAGATGGCAGAAAGAGCACTTATATCCATCTCCCTTGCACCCCTAATCTGCCTCCATTACATCTCTAAGTCTAATAGGAATTACATCATTAGTAAGAATGATAGATAAAGAAAAGAAGTAAATAAAGATGAATTAAGCATAGGGCTAGAAAACAAGAATCCAGAAGCAGGCCTTGGAAATACTCTAAGTCAAGAATAAGGCAGGGAGAGTGTTGATTGTTGGAGAAGAGAGAGCAGAGAGATACAATGCAGAAAACACAAAAATCTGAACAAAGAGTCAGATTATCGTTTACTCTAGAAATGAATAAATTGTTCAAAATGAGAAAATTTATCTATGTAATTCATTATCTTACACATTGAATAAAAAATAAAATGATTTTATTACCAGATGCTATAATGGCATTTGATAAAATTAATCAGCTAATCAAGTTTAAGACAAATTGCAATAAAAAGAAATTACTTCGCGATTTACTAAAATACAACAGCAAACTTTATCCTAAGTGGTAAAACAGTTTCATTATAATCACAAAAAGGCATAATGTCCTCCATCATCGTAATTATTCAGCATTGGTTTTGAAGTTATAGCAAATGCAATTTTAAAAATTAGACAATCAATATCAGCATTAGAAAAAAATAGAATGTTTTGGTGACGATATAACTGTATTTAGAAAATCTCAAAAATTACAGTAAGAAAAAACCTACCAAATTATGAGGACATTCAGCAAGATGGGTAGTTCAAGTTGAAAACATATAAATACTTAACTTTCTGCCTTTCCTACATTAATACATATATGTGGAAATGAGAAAAACATTCCATTCTTTACATCATCAAAAATCATAAAATACTTAGGAATATATTTAATAATTAAGGGACAGGATTTATATTAAAAGAATTATAAATTTAATTCAAATATATTAAAAAAATCTCAACAAATGGAAGAAACATAGAATGTTATTTAATAAAAAAAACTCTGATATAAAAATATCAAATTAAAGAATTAGCATATAATTTTAGAGCTTCTAAGATAACTTTGAAAAAGCAAAAACATAAATTATTGAAAATCATTACTTCTGGAATGTGAAGCTTGATTAAGTGTGAATAGGAATGATCTTTTTGGTTTTCATTTATGACTTTTCTACTATTTCAATTTTTTAATTATAAATTTTTGTGGGTACATAGAAGGTGAACATATTTATGGAGTACATGTGATGTTTTATCCAGGAACGCAATGCATAATAATCACATCATGGAGAATGGGATACCCATCCCTTCAAGCATTTATCCTTTGTATTGCAAACAATACAGTTATACTCTTTTAGTTATTTTAACACGTACAATTAAGTTATTATTGACTATAGTCACCCTGCTCTATTATCCAATAGTGGGTCTTATTCATTCTTTCTATTTTTTTTTTGGTACCCATTAACAATTCTCATTTTCCAGCCTCTTCCTCACAACTACACTTCTGAGCCTCTGCTAACCATATCCTTCTACTCTCTATGCACATGAGTTCAACTGTTTTGATTTTTAGATCCCACAAATAAGTAGAGTGATTTTTGCCTTTCTGTACCTGGCTTATTTCACTTAACATAATAATCTCCAGTTCCACCTATGTTTTGCAAATGACTGGATCACATTCTTTTTTTTGGCTGAATAGTATTCCACTGTATATAAGTAAACATCTGTTGATGGACACTTAGATTGCTTCCAAATCTTAACTATTGTGAACAGTGCTGCAACAGACATAGGAATGCAGATATCTCTTTGATGTATTGCTCTTCTTTCTTTTGGTTATATACCTACCCAGCAGTGGGATTGCTGGATCACATGGTAGCTCTACTTTTCAATTTTTTGAAAAACTTCCAAACTGTTCTCCATAGCACTTGTACTAATTTACATTCCCACCAACAGTGTATAAGGCTTCCCTTTTGTCTGCATTCTTGTCAGCATTTGTTATTGCCTGTCTTTTGGATTAAAGCCATTTTAACTGGAGTGAGATGATATCTCATTGTAGTTTTGATTTGCATTTTCCTGATGATCAGTGATGTTGTGCACCTTTTTATATGCCTGTGTGCCATTTGTATGTCATCTTTTGAGAAATGTCTATTCATTGTCAACTGAGAAATGTCTATTTAAATGTTTTGCCATTTTTTTATCAGATTAATAGATTTTTTCCTATAGAGTTGTTTGAGCTCTCTCTCTATATATATATGTGTGTGTGTGTGTGTATATATATATATGTGTGTGTGTATATATGTGTGTGTGTATATATGTGTATATACATATACATATACACACATATATATGTATACACATATATACATATACATACGTATATGTATACACATACGTGTGTATACACATATGTATGTGTATACATATGTGTATACACATACGTGTGTATACACATATGTATGTGTATACATATGTGTATACACATATGTATATATACACACACACATATATATGCTGGTTATTAATCCCTTGTCAAGTGGGTAATAGGAAAATATTTTCTCCCATTCTGTAGGTTGTCTCTTTACTTTGTTGATTTTGTCCTTTGCTGTGCAGAAGCTTTTTAACTTGATGTGATCCCATTTGTCCATTTTTACTTTGGTTGCCTGTGCTTGTGGGGTACTGACCAAAAAAATTTTGCCCAGACAAATGTCCTGGAGATTTTCCCCAATGTTTTCTTGTAGTGATTTCATAGTTTGAGGTCTTAAATTTAAATATTTCACCCATTTTGATTTGATATTTGTATATGGGAAGAGAAAGGGGTCTAGTTTCATTCTTTTGCATATGGATATCCAGTTTTCCTAGCATCATTTATTGAAAAGACTCTTTCCCCACATGTATATTCTTGGCACCTTTATCAAAAATGAGTTCACTGTAGGTGTTTCAATTGGTTTATGGGTTCTCTATTTTGTTCCTTTGGCCTATGTGTCAGTTTTTATGCCAGCACCATGCTCATGGGTTACTATACCTCTGTAGCATAATATAAAGTCAGATAATGTGATTACTCCAGTTTTGTTCTTTTTACTTAGGACAGCTTTGCCTATTCTGGGTCTTTTGTGGTTTTATATAAATTTTAGTTGTTTTTTTCTATTTTTGTGAAGCGTGCCACTGGTATTTTGACAGGGATTGCATGAAATCTGTAGATTGCTTTGGGTAATATAACATTTTTAACAGTATTGATTCTTCTAATTCATGAACATGAAATATTTTCCCATTTTTTGTGTCCTCTCCAATTTCTTTCATCAGTGTTTTATAGTTTTCATTATAGAGATCTTTCACTTCTTTGGTTAATTCCTAGGGATTTTATTTTATTTGTGGCTGTTGTAAATGAGAATACCATTTTGATTTCTTTTTCAGATTGTTCACTCTTGGCATATAAAAATGCTACTAATTTTTGTACGTTGATTTTGTATTCTGCAACTTCATTAAATTTGTTTTATCAGTTCTAAGAGTTTTCTTGTGGAGTCTTTAGATTTTTCCTAATGTAAGACCATATTATCTCCAAACAAGGATTATTTGACTTCTTCTTTTCCTGTTTGGATGTCTTTTATTTCTTTCTCTTGTCTTATTGCTCTATCTAGGACTTCCAGGACTATGTTGAATAACAGTGGTGAAAGTGGGCATCCTTGTCATGTTCCAGATCTTACAGGAAAGGCTTTCAGTTTTACCTCATTCAGCATGGCACTAGCTGAGGGTCTGTCATTTATGGCTTTTTTTTTATGTTGAGTTATGTCCCTTCTATCCCCAGTTTTTTTTAGGGTTTTTATCATGAAGTGATGTTGACTTCTATCAAATGCTTGTTCAGCATCAACTGCAATGATCATATAGTTTTTATCTTTCATTCTGTTGATTTGATGTATTACATGGATTGATTTGTATATGTTGAACCCTCCTTGTATCATAGGGATAAATTCCACTTGGTCATGACAAATGATCTTTCTAATGTATTCTTAAATTTGGTTTTCTAGAATTTTGTTGAGGACTTTTGCATCAATATTCATCAGAGATATTGGCCTGCAGTTTTCTTTTTTGATGTGTCTTTGTCTGGTTTGGGTATCAGTATAATACTGACCTTGCAGAATGAGTTTGGAGGTATTCCTGCCATCTCTATTTTTCAGTCTATGTGTGCTGCCAGAGCTCTATTGCATGTTATTTGTTTCTTTCCTCTTGCTGCTTTTAGAATCCTTTCCTTATCCTTGATCTTTGGGAGTTTATTAAATGCCTTGAGGTAAGTGTTCTTTGAATTAAATCTGTATGTGTAACTTCTTGTACTTGAATATTACTATCTTTCTCTAGGTTTGGGTAGTTCTCTGTTATCCCTTTGAATAAAATTTCTATGCCTATCTATTTTTCTACCTCTTCTTTAAGGCCAGTAACTTGTAGATTTGCCCTTTTGAGGCTGTTTTCAAGATCCTGTAAGTGTGCTTCATTGATTTGTACTCTTTTTTTTTTTTTTTTTTTTGTCTCCTCTGACTGTGTATTTTCAAACAGGCTTTCTTCAAGCTCACTAATTTTTTTCTTCTGCTGGATTCATTCTGCTGTTAAAGAACTCTGATGCATTATTCAGTATGCCAATTGCATTTTTCAGCTCCAAAATTTCTGGCTTGATTCTTTTAAATTATTTCAATCTTTTTGTTAAATTTATCTGATATAATTCTAAATTCCTTCTTTGTTATCTTGAATTTCTTGGGTTTCCTCAACATAGCTCTTTTGAATTTTCTGTCTGAAAGGTCACATATCTCTGTTTCCCTAGGATTGGTCACTGGTGACTTATTTAGTTCATTTGGTGAGGTCATGTTTTTCTGGATGGTGTTGAAGCTAGTAGATGTTCTTCAGTGTCTAGGCATTAAAGAGTTAGGTATTGATTGTAGTCTTCATTTTCAGGGCTTTTTTGTACCTGTCCTTCTTGGGAAGGCTTTCAAGATATTTGAAGGACTTGGGTGTTGTGATCTAGGCTGTCTGCTTTAGGGGGCACCCCAAGCCTAGTAATGGTGTTGTGCTTGAGACTCATAGAAGTACTTCCCTGATGGTCTTGGACCAGATCCAGGAGAATTCTCTGGTCTCTCTTTCTCTCTGTTCTGAGCTACCTAAACCTGGAGTTGAAGTGACACAAGTGCCCCTGTGGCCACCACCACTATGACTGTGCTGAGTCAGACCTGAAGCAAGTACAGCATTGTGTCTCACCCAACGCCTGCTGTAACTGCTCCCTGGCTACTGTCTATGTTTGCTTAAGGTGCTGAGGCTCTACAATTAGCAGGTGGCAAAGCCAGCCAGGACCGTGCCCTTACCTTCAGGTCAGCAAGTTTCTTCAGGCCCCAGGTGGGTCCAGAGGTGGCATCTGGGAGTCAGGTACTAGAGTTAAAAACCTTAGAAGTCCAGCAGATATTCTATTGTACTGCGCTAAGCTGGCACTCAATGTTAAAAATCACAATATTGAATTAAAGACGTAATAGAACTGTCAGTTATTTATATCTTTACTGCCAATTGCCTATAGTGTTATTTTCAATCATTTAAATAAGTAGATAAAACTTAAAATCAGTCTCTGATACATACCTAATATGTATTCTTGGAAAAGTTATTTAATCTCTGTAAGCCATAGTTTCCTCATCTAGAATATGGCTATAATAAAAATTACCTCATGTGCTAGTGAAAGTTTAATAAGATTATGCATATACAGTGCTTAGTAGAGTCCCTGCCATACAGAAGTGTTTGATAAATGCTAACAAACTATGACTCAATCTTTTACCTTCCTTAACTAATTTCAGTTATCCATGTAGACTTATCAACATGTGTTAGTAAATATATCTGATCTTAGATAATTACCACTTTCACTCTCAAAAATGTCCCAATCTGGTTGATAAATTATATGGTCACTCTACTTATTAATAATAACACTAATAAAAGAAAGAGAAAAAAATGAGATAATCTTTTCAAATTCATAAGCTATTTCTCTCATCAGATTTCTTAGATAAGATATGATAATTGAAGATTGTCCATTATATATAATATACATTTCATGTGTTAATTATACAATATTGAAAGGTTCAATTCAATAGCATCTTTCAATAGTAATAAAAGATGAGAATGTCATTTTAAAGTATAAATTTTAAAACAATAAAATAAATTATTTGAAATTTGTGTTTACTGTCACAAACTTTTAAAAAGGCTAAATTGAGTAGTTTTGTTTTTCTCATCAAAGAACATCATCCTATGTGGGCGAAAAAGAGATCACTAGGGAGACATAGAGTTGTATCCAGGTATTTCTGTCCTTCTAATCCTTCCTAAACAGCTCGCTGTGTTTTTTTGAAGCACATTTTAGGTTACTAGGATACAAAAATATAAAATTAACTTTTTTAATTATAAGGCAGCCCTGTGTGAACACTACAACATTATGAATTGACTTTCATTTAAAATAGACTATACCTTTTGAAAGATTTAATTATCAATGTCTTACTTTTAAAAAGCAGTCATATTATCTAGTAGAATTACACTGATTGGACAGAGAAAATTAAAGTTTTACCTGTGCATTTTTAAATAACCTATCTGTAATGTCTAATCACCTCAGACAAAGATATTATGTTCCAACAAAGTTGTACTTAGCTATGCCTCTGCAATGCTAGTCTTAGTAATTAGGACCCAGTCTTCCAGCCATTATGCACACAACTGCCAGCGACCCAGAAAACTCCTGCTGACATTGGAGGAGCATAATGAATGCATGATAGCCCATTCCCAATCTATCCCCTTTTCAGAGTCTGTGTATCTCTTCTTCACACAGAACTTGCTTCCATCTAAATGAAAACATCAAGTGCTGAAATATATGCAGCAAGGCTAAAGAGAATAAATATATAAGTAGATAATTACTATAAATGATCGATGCTATTCAAATAGTTCTAGAATGAGTTTTTTTAGTGTGAATGGCATTAAAAGATCTCTACTACATTCCAGTCTCCCTACTCATCTTTAATTTTTCTTAATCTTTAAAAGAAATCTGCTATGGCAAAGCAAATCCTCTCACTGTCGCTGAAACACATCATAGTCATTTTTGCCCTTATACACTTACATCCAATGTTCTCTCCAAAAGAATTACATTCATCCACAAATTCTGTACATCAATTCTGTATATTCTACTCACCTATAACATATTTTATGTCTTTCCTGATTCATATTTTAAGTGATGACTTTCACTAACCATTTCTCCAGCCACATGACAGGTTGTGCTCTTCTATTTCTATTTCTGACACTATTATCTACTGCCTGATATAGTCTCAGGGCATCTGTTTACTAATGTGGTTACATGTGTGCTTAAAAAGACACAATTGTGGCAGAGACTGCCTACCTTCACATCAAACTCATTTCCTTTGTCTCCTAGGCCTAAGCCTGTACTACATTTTCCAGGCTTCCTTGCAGTTGAGTTTGGCCATGTGATTGAGTAGTACCAATTCAATATGAATAGAAGCGATGTGTGGCATTTTGGTTTAACCCATAAAGAAACTTCTTACGTGAAATTATCTTCCTCTCTTTCCACATTCCCCAATTTGAGTCAACATCAATCTTAGAAAGTAGAAACTGAAGATGGTGGAACCACAGATGAATTCATTTTGTGAACAAAAGTACTTCACAATCAGAAATACCTGCTTTGGACTGTTACAGGAGTGTACTATAAATGTTAATCCACTGGTATTTGTGTCAACAGTTGGTATTAACCAAACTAATACAGAAATTGGAACCAGAAATGTTATCGTCTGGTAGATAGCAAAGCAATTGATATTGAAGGCTGAAAAGATAGAGACCTATGTTACACAATGGCAAAATAGCAAAACTGTCACCAGAGATAATCTGGAATGCAAATTGCATGCCTACTTAGACTGTAGCTCCAGGAAGAGTGGTTACAAAAAGTTACAGTGAGGATTACTTTTCCATTTTGCTTTTTGCAAAGTATAACAGTAAAAACATGTTTTTTTCCTAAGGGCAGAATTGGGTGATTTGAAAGAAAATTGAAGGAGTATAGACAAGGCCTTGAAGGATTAGAAAATTAGAAAACCAAACTGCTTTTAAACCTCAAGTAAAGTAATGTAAAACTGAAGATTATTTTGAAGAACTAAAGCTCATTATGATTGCTCAGTTAAGCAAAGTGTCTCAACTGTCAATAAGTCCGATCGAGAGCACTTTCTTCCTATGCAAGGCTATTTGTATTTCACATGGCCTAAAGACAGTTCACCAAACTGAGAAAGAGAGAAAAGAGATATTGAATCTCCCTCACAAACTCCTCCAGGAAAACATATTAATTATTCAAAGGTGAGTTTATTAAACTTATAGTATTTAAAAGGGTGAAAATTAGCGAATGGTAAGAAGGTTCTAGAGCCTGGGTCGAGTGATTTTTAAGGCAGGCATTGTAAAGCAAGAATATGGTTCAGAATGATCGAATTATGACATGCTAGCTTTGGATGTTGTGAGCCCAGTGAGGCAATGGCCTTGAAGCAGCCTTGATGAGCAAGTTGTTGTTTGTAATTAGCATATTAGTTGCTTTATCACTTTATATTCCAGGAAAAGATGCGTCCCTGAGCAAACAACTAACTTGTGGCTGGTCTCAGTACTATTTAAATAGGGACAAGGATATATGACTAGTCTTATGGTTAACTCATAGAAAACAAACTATGTTCATAGGGCAGGAAAGTATGGTCTAACATACTTTATTTAACACAGGCATGAGAAATTTTGATTTCAGTTATCAGTTTCCACATTTGGTCATTCTTCTGCCTACTTTAGAAGACAGATTATTTGTTACTGAGAATCATGATCAATCCAAATGTGCATTACTATTTGATGAGTAACAGTCATGTGTTAAGTTTCCTTGTTAAAAAAAAAAAAAAGGGAGAGAGGCTTCAGGATAAATTAACCCTGTCCACCCTTTAATTTTGGACTTCTGGCCTCTGGCCTCCAGAACTGTGAGAAAATGAAATGTTGGGTAAGTAAAATAATAATAATAATAATTCCTTGTTATTTATTGGAGCATTTGATCAAAAGTGGCTACATAATAGCATTTAAGAGTCTGAAGAAAACACATTTGAGCACAGCAGCACAGGCTAACGCTAAGAAAAGTATTAGGATCAGACTTTGAAATCCAATTCTAAACCCAGACTAAAGAGTACCCAAATTAAAGCAAGAGAACAGACACAATTACCAATGTGAAGAGACGGTAGTACGTCATTTACTTGTTTATCTGATGTTTTTAGAAATATTAAAGGTTCCAGAAAATTCTGTAGTGTTAAACAGAACAATATTATGTCTATGACTGCCTGCTTTGAATCATCACCAACAGAAGAAAAAGATCCTAAATTCCCTTTTAGAAGCTAAGTTTTGGGGACTCAAGTTGAGACATGGTTTTTCTTCTTTTTGAATTAAATTACCTAAAGATTTATTTTGTTTTGTTTTTGTTTTTTGAAAGGGGAAAAATATATCAAAATGGAACCTAAGTGATATCAAGTATAATCGTGAATATAAACCTAAGTTACTGAAATAACAAGACCCTATCCAGTTTGTTAGTAATAACTAGAAAATTTTTCATGCAAAAATCCAAAACCATTTGCTATGAGTATCCCAATGTTCTCTTTTAAGACAAAATACCCTTCGAGGTTGTCTAGTTATTTTGTACACTTTTAGTGCCACTAAGTAAGAGTGGATTACAGTCAGATGGTAAGATTTAAATTAAGGAGATCATCAGTTATATCTATAGTAAAATAGTATTAATTTCAGTTTAAGAAGTTAGCCTTCTTGGAAGTCTGTTAAAATGAGATGGTGTCTTAGTAAGTTTGGATGCCATACAAAATACCATGGACTGGGTAGCTTAAATAGTAGAATCTTATTTTCTCACAATTCTGGAAGACAGAAGTTCAAGATCAGAGTGCCAGCATGGTCAGGTTCTCGTGAGAGCGCTCTTCTTTTCTTACAGAGAGCTTCCTTCTGTGTCCTCACATGGCAGAGAGAAAGAGAAGGAAAGAGAGGGAGAGAGAGATGCATACATAAACTTTCAGGTCTCTTCCTATAAGGGCATTAATCCCATCATGATGGCCTTACCCTCAAGATCTTATCTAAACCTAATTATTTCCCAAAGGCCCCATCTCCAAACACCATTACTTGGGGGTTAAGACTTCAACATACAAACTTGGGTAAGGGACACAGTTCAGTCCACAGCAGATGGTTTTCACTGGTACACCATATTTTTCTTAGTCATATTCCAAGCTCTATTTCTGTGAAATTTTTGTTACAAAAGCCAACTGCTGTGAAAAGTCCTTGGATGTTTTAACAAAAACAGAAACCTCCCATACTAGATGTTATACGTAAGTGGTTTAGATTTTTGGCTGTCTGGTCTGTGGTATGTTTGCAATCTAAGAATTTCCTTAGTAGTTGAATCCAAACAACCAAGATACTGGCTAATTCATTGGAAGGAATTGGTACTAATAGAACCAAGTTAGTTTCATTTTTCTTTAACCAAATCACAAGAAAATTATAGCCAGACACTAGATGTATCCCAAGAAGTTGCTAGTAATGCAAAGAAAAATATTAAAAATAGGGGCTTTATGGATAGCATAGTTCAAGGATAACAAATGCATTGTTAGCAAATCCAGAACCTTAATGCAGAATATATAAAACAGATAGAAAAAATCAACAAGCACATGCTCATTAAAACACGGCAATATGTGACTCTGTTTAACTACATTTTATTCTGTGGGTCTGGGCAGAAGCTATCTACTTTGTGCAGTTGTCGACTACTTCCAAATACCTAAAAACTGTCTCTTCTCAATTTTCTGCTTCTGAAGGATACACACCTAAGAATTATCAGCTTGAGGCCTATGGTCAGAAGACTTTAACGAGCTGAGGATGGTTTATGTCTCTTAAATTGGTAGACATAAATCAAGGATTAGCCCCATATAAAACCCCTCACAGTTTTACTACACGGCTAATGATTAAGAGTAGCTGACCATCTCTATAAAATACAGATTGTCAGCTGCTCCATTTCATAGAGATTAAGGATCTTTCCATCCTTAACATCCATTCCAGAAAACGAAGTCTTCACATTTTAGGTTATACAAAGGTGGTTTAGGAGAATGTTGAGAAAAGGCTTCCTGTACCTGGTGAGGACAAGACTGAATATACTGCATCAGCCCTTTGCAGTATTAGTATTAGTATTATCCTGCTTGCAACAAGACAGGGTTTAGAATTAAAGGGAATATTCCTCAATTCGTGAATCAGACTGTTTCTAACCTATGACAAAAAATTGATGAATGTGAAAAGAAGTGAATCTTATTATCATTAGGGCCAATGAAAATACCTTAGAGCATAAAAGTTCAAAGGACTCTCAGAGCTTTGAAGTTGTTTCATTTTAGAATCTCATTTGTTCTTTCTGTTCCTCAAAGACTGAGGGTGTTAGAGACCATGCAGTTTCTTAATAAGTAACAAGACCTTGAAGATTTCTTAAATAAGAGTCTCAGCAAAATGGGTGCCTCATCATGAAAGAGATAGTGAATAAAGATCAAGAAATTTGTTCAGAACCCTAACACCTTAGCTCTCTGGCTGGAAAACCTCCAATCAATCCAGAGAATAAATACTGACTAAGACATATTTAAGAAGCATAGTGAGTGCTAGATAAATAAAATGCATCCATAGATTTTCAAAGCTTTGGATCGCTGGGCACAGCGAGGTAAAGGCCTTAATGAGCAAGCTGTGAAATGTGGCTGTATTTGTTGTTTCACAGTATTATCTCTTAGGAACAAGAATGTCCTCAAGCAAGCAGCTAAGTTATTTTTGCCTGATCTCAATATTGTTTAACACGGGAACAGGAAAGTAGGCTTGATCTCATTAAAATATAGTACAAGGCACAAAAAAGTATATTGGTTTCCATTTTCTTTTCTTTCTTTTTTTTTTTTATTTTGTGAGAGAAATTTGCTCTGTCACCCAGGTTGGAGTGCAGTAGTGTGATCTCAGCTCACTGCAACCTCCACCTCCTGGGTTCAAGTGATTCTCCTGCCTCAACCTGCTGAGTAGCTGGGATTCCAGGTGTGAGCCACCATGCCCAGCTAATTTTTTGTATTTTTAGTAAAGACAGGATTTTACTATTTTGGCTAGGCTGGTCTCATGGTCTCTGTTTTCAAGAGCAAAGGGAAAGAAGGAAGGAAGGAAGGAAGGAAGGAAGGAAGGAAGGAAGGAAGGATGGATGGATGGAAGGGAGGGAGGGAGGAAGGGAGGGAAAGAGGGAAGGAAGGAAGGAAGGAAGGAAGGAAGGAAGGAAGGAAGGAAGGAGGGAAGGAGGAAGGAAGGAGGGAAGGAGGGAAGGAGGGAGGGAGGGAGGGAGGGAGGGAAAGGAAGCCAGAGAAGTATGTCTAGTAAAGAACTTTGGGAGTGGCTCTTGGCATCGGAACAGACTGGAAACAAATATACCAGAAGCTTACCAAGTTTCTAAGATAAATGCATTGCCAAAGAATCTGTAAGATGTTTTTTAAAAATTCTTTAATTTGTTCAGGCATTAGCATATTCTTGGGCACAGCAAAATTGCACCATCACATAGTAACTATGAAAGTTATGCAGCTCCTAAGGAAGACATACTCTCCAACTCCTAATTCTACTGTGGCCAGAGAGGATAACGGACAAGGAGGAATCTCTCATCCAGTGGAATTAAGATGCCATTGAGAACATTGGACAAGGGAGTTTCTTCCAGAGAACTGAATCAATAAATAAGCTTCCACTATAAGCTAGATAGAGAGTCTACACTATGCCTGCCACAAGAAGTCATTAATGTTGTGAACCAGAGGTAACTGGTATTAGTAATTTTCCAATATTCCACTTCAGTGACAGAAGTTTTTAGCGTGGCTACCTTGTCTCTGTTTTACCATTATTTGTAGAGCATGTGTGAAAGCCATGGGTGTGAGGTGGGAAGGGCAAATAGTTTGTCTTAGTTTTTCCTTTTAGTTCACAGACCACCAGACAACATAGAGCCACATTCAAATCTAAAAACTGGATGCTACATACAAAGACATTGTTAACTTGAAGCTAGATGCTACCTTAGCTTGTCTCTTTGGGAAGTATAAGGACACAATTTCTTGTCCCTGGATGTGAGGGAGAAAAAAACTGTTTTTTTCTACTGTCACACTCAATACTATACTCAACACATAATACTTCATCTCTGGTCTTCAAAATGTGTATAGGGTTTTCCCCATACACCAGCCAAGCAATTTTCCAGCAGACACCAACTGCATGTCCTATAATTCAGTTGAATTGTGACACCATCTACCTGGAGAGAACATCAGATCCTACAGGTTGAGAGCTCAGTCCTGCAAGACTGTTCCTACTTCAGAGGCCGAGTCCCAGATTGTCGCCTGTACTTCTGACTGGCCAGCTATAAATCATGGTTCTTATGACCAGCTCCTTATGTCAATTAATTTCCCAGGATGGCTCACAGAACTCAGGGAAACACTTTACTTACATTTACCCATTTATTATGAAGGATATTGCAAAGAATATAAACAAACAGCCAGATGAAGAGATATACAGAGTGAGGTCTATGGGTGGGGACTTGGAGCTTTCATGATTTCCCCAGGCATGCCACTCTCCAGACACCTCCATGTGTTCAGGAATCTGAAAGCTCTCCTTTTGGGTTTTTATGGAGGTTTCATTACATAGTTATGATTGATTACATCATTGGCTATTTGGTGATCAGCTCAACCTTCAGCCTCTCTCCCCTCTCTGGAAGTCAAGGGGTTAGGGCTGAAAGTTCCAATCCTCTAATCACATGATTGGTTTCCCCGGCAACTAGCCCCATCCTGAAGCTATCCACAATCCCACCAAAAGTCATCTCATTAGAATATAAGATGTACCTATAGCCCAGGAAATTCCAAGGGATTTAGGAGTTCTGTGCCAGAGGCTTCTATCATTCAAAAATTTACAAAGGTCTTGGGAACTCCGTGTCAAGATCCAGGGTCAAGGATCAAATATTAGAATAAAAGATTCTCCTAGCATCTCCATCTACAAAGGTTTTAGAAGCTCTGTCTCCAAAACCAGGGGCAGAGTACAAATATATACTTATTATATCACATTGTGTTATACAATACTAAGACCAGGCATAATTCCCTGTCCCTGTATTAAAAGATATTGAGACCAAAGCAAAATCAACCTAAGTACTAGCTCTACAACATACTTATTCTTGAAAGATACGATTGTGAAACAATTATCAATAGGTATATGTGTACACATATATAGAGAGATATAGACATAAACATAGACATGGATGATAGAAAACTAGAAGGGCAAAGTGTGGCAGATACATAACTAGCTAGCTATTTATCAGACCCATTTCCTCTTCTTCCTGGGCTCACAGCTAGACTACATTTCCCAGGCTTGCCTGAGGTTAGGTGTGGCCACGTGATAGACTTCTAGTCAATGGAACATAAGCAGAACTGATGTGTGTCTGGGCCATTATATATTTCCTATATATGAGTTTCCATACTCTCTTTTGCCTGTGGCTTGAAGTAGACAACTCATTAATATTTTGGAAATTATTTGGTGAAAATGGTAAAATCATAAGCTATAAGGAGCCTCAGTCCCAGCCAGAATCACTGCATAGAGGAAAGCCACCTGCTGACAAGAACTATAAATTGGATGGTTTTTTAAACTAAAACTAAATATTTCTTCTGTTAAGTTACAGGAAATGTTTCTTGCATAGCTGGCAAGAAACGTGTAACATATCATATAACTGCCCTTTAGGGCAGACTCAGGCTCATAGACACCTAGCTAGGGAAACAGCAAAAGCAAGGTTTTCTCCCTGCACTCCCCTCAGTCACACCCCTTGTGCTGGGTACTCTGAACCACTATAGAGAGTGGCTCCCACTACTTCATTTGCCACTCCTTTTAAAATAGACTGTTTGAGCCTAGAGGGCAGGAATTGTATTTTAGATTTCTTCTTGTAGTCTGTCCAGTAAAGCACAAGGTGGCCACTCAGTAATAGCCATTGAATTCAATTTAATTTCTCAATGCTTACATTCAAACACAAACTGATTGTCTCTACTGCCTTGAGGCCTCTCAAACTTCTTTCCAGCAAAAAAAAAAAAAAAAAAAAAAAAAAAAAAAAAAAATGTGCCTCACTGAATGAAGTCTTTCTACTATGGAGGACAACATGAATGCAAGTAAATTTCTAATGAAGAAGAAAGAAAATCCTACCAGGAAAACAAGACTATTCAAATGACAGGTGAGTACTAAGCTGTGGAAATCCACCAAGCCATTAAGAAAAATTCTTAACTCATATATTCTGTAAACAGGTGTCAGTCTTAGGTCAGAATACTCAATTTATCTTGCCCTAAAAGGGAATGTTCATTGGAATCTTTATGTGGCCACAGAAAATTATTTATACAAATAAATAACAAATCAATAGTCACCTAAATAGAATTCAAAAAAAGCCTAGGTCCTTTATTTTATATATATATATATATATATATATATATATATATATATATATATATATACCATTATTTCGTAAGTAGATATTTTGTGAAAAATTGGCACATTAAAACGTACCAAGCAGAATCCAAAATTCATGCCAGGTAACCGGCTCTGGACTAGTTCTAATGATAGGAAAATCTAGCAAAAACACATCTGTGATTAACTAAACATTTCTATAAAAGCAGTGATGCCTCTAGAGTCAGCCAGAATGCGTTTCCATTTTTTGTAGTCTAGTAGCAGCCGAAGATCCAAAAAAGCAAAACTATTTTAGTCACATTTTAGCCTACTTCTGCCTTGTTTATCAACCAGAGAATTTAAACTAACCACGCCTTCTGTCAGCATTCTAGGGAAGACAGCCCAGGATTATCAGTGACTTTCTGTGCCTCTAACTTTACCACATTAGCCAAGAATAATTAGCAATGGTCTGAAAGGAATTGAATTTTTTTTTTTAAGGCAACAATTCACACTTCAGCATTTATGCAAATCTGGGTAATTTAAATGTATGAGATGATTAAGAAAGAATCTTCTCTTTAATTCCCCAAGAGTGTGCATGTTCTTTTCTCCTCATGCAAATTTCTAGGATAGTCTGTTCTTTTATTCTTTGCTTAGAGCACCACACTGTTTAAAAATAAAACATTGTAAATATATACAATGGCATCAGAATCGTGCCTATGGCTTCATATGAGACTATGTAAACACTCAGCAAGAGTGGTATCCTAACTACTTTTGAATTGTGATATGCTTACATGGAAAATGGTGATGGAGAAAAATATAAAGGCAGATATCCATGGAAACTCTTCAGGATAATTTGTCAATTCTGATAAATGTAGTGCCTGCATTTAAACTCTTAAGTGCCTTGCTGTTTTGTGCCCTCGCATCAATTAACATTTAATTTGACTTTTTAACAACATCACTTATCACTAGTTTTTTCATGTCTATGAAGCTAACAAATGTTAGCTTTTCAAAGCTGACAGTTTATGATTACTTATAACCAACACCATTTCAGGGTAATGCAGTAAGAGATTAATGGACCACGGGGATGACACAGCCACAGGGCTTGCTATAAAAAGAGAGATGAACTACAATCCTGATTAATGCCTCTTTTGAATGAATGTACTTGAAAACCAGCTAAACCAATATCAAGAGGAAAAACTTTATCCTAATTATATGAACAGTGCCTTTTTTTTTTTTTTTTTTTTTTTTTGACGGAGTTTCGCTCTATCACCCAGGCTGGAGTGCAGTGGCCCAGTCTCGGCTCACTGCAACCTCTGCCTCCCAGGTTCAAGTGGTTCTCCTGCCACAGCCTCACAAGTAGCTGGGACTACAGGCACCCGCCACCACGCCCAGCTAATTTTTGTATTTTTAGTAGAGACGGGGTTTCACCATATTGGCCAGGCTGGTCTCAAACTCCAGACCTTGTGATCCGCCCGCCTTGCCTCCCAAGGTGCTAGGATTACAGGCGTGAGCCACCGCGCCCAGCATGAACACTGCTTCTAATTGTACACTTCACAACTTATTTAAGGCCTTTGTTTACATACATATATTTTACTAAATAACATCCAGTATTGGAAGCGAAATGAAAAATATGTCAAGGAAAAGTCTCATTTAACAGCATGAAGAAAACAATAATTTTAGATTCAAATTAAGAGAGCAGTATAAATATTTTGTTGCAGGAGAAAGCAATAGATTAGAAATTTTAAATTTTACTTTTAATCTATTTTATATTTGTATGTGTATATATATGTGTGTGTGTGTCAAGGAAGCACACTGAGGTATTCAGTGTATTAAATTGAAATATAATTGCAGTAGTGAATCAGCTAATGCCTGAGAAGAGTCATTTAGCCATCCTTTTAAGGATACTCATAGCTTTTTATCTTTTTAAAGTTCCCTCCATTTACAGTTCTCCTTCATAATTGATTAAAATAAATTTTCAATAAATAAATAAATAAATAAATGCCAGTTGAACCAAGAGGACCATTCAGCACTAGTTCTAATTCCTCCTCAACTAAGTCTTTAGCTACCCAGCTTCTATCTTCCTCAGTGTTTCCTTTCCAAATCAGATGAGAGAAATAAGCTGCCACACCCAGAAGCATGTTATAGTTCTGTTCTACACCAGCACAAAGTTCTTCTCCTGGTTTCTTGTATGTCTCTATCCCAGGACTGACTGTTGAGAATGTGACGTTCATTAATTTTGCCCTCGTGGATAGCTCCTCCAAAGAATCAAAGCTGTGTTCAGTCTCACACTGCAAACAGATCTCTGAAGAGGTAAATCAAAGCATATTACTCATAATTCAAGATAAATTGTGTTGAACACCTTTCAAAGATGACGTCCTTTCAGTGCAAGTGTTTTAGCCCAATAGGTCTCTCACTGATACTTGGAAAATTCAAGAATTTCATTACTTAGGCTATGTATTCAATTTTACCCATAACATTTTCAATCACACTCTTATATTTTATCAAAAATAGCTGAAATAAATTTTGAAAAGTTCCAAAACTTAAAGTAGATTTTGACTTTTCAGGCTTTCTGCCCTTTATAGTATATTGAGTGGAGAATGATTGGGTTTCTGTCAAAATATCAAACTATCACACTGGGAAGGAGTTCCTTTCCATTATCAAAAAAAAAAAGAAAGAAAAGAAAACAGAAAATCTAACATCCACTTGAGTTCTTTAAGAATGTAAAGTTGAATGCAAAGTTAATTTGGACTGCATATATCTCAAAGATATTTCTTTGAATTGATGATCATTGTTAAAAACAGAGGATTTGTACTGCTATTAGGATATCACACAGACACACACAAACACATTTATATACACACACACACACACACATATATATATACACTTTAAATTGCATTACTTTATAGGAAATCAATAAGGTTGCTATCACCACATGTTCCAATTTTTTCTCTCCTTCAAAATTCATCCAATTAATATTAGCTTTTCAGTACCTTTTCATGACTTCTCTCTCAAGGACTTCCAGAGCTTGTTATCTGTTGTCTTTTTGTACATGTTAATGTGTAACATAATTATATGTGTAGAGATTTTCTTTCCATTACTAGCTTGTAAGTTCCTTTTTATCAGGGCCAATAATAGTATTGCTTTGTGTATAGCAACTGATCAATGCACTTTTGTTAAATGAAAGAAAAAATAAATGATTGGATACCCAAATGGATGTATGACTGAATAAACAGCCTAAATGAGAGCACTAAAGCTCAAAAAATCCATATACCAAGGGGAAACAATTATGAAAAATGTCAAGAAATATGGTTTGATTTAAATGGTCTAAATAGATTTTCTTTAATACATTATATATAAATATCTACCCAATATATAACATTTCAAAGGATAAAAGAAACAAAAACAGTTATTTTCAAACTAGACATGTGTTGAATGTCATTGTCAGCCAGGCAATGTGCTGCAGTAAAGGATCTAAAGATACATAAGATAAATCTCCTCACCATCAAGGATCACTGTTTAGTTAGGAAGCAAGACAATTTGTATGATGGATTAAGCCCTCTCCCAATGGGACAACATACCCCCACCACCAAAAAAAAGTCAAACTGCACTTTAGAAAAACTAGTGAAAATAACATCCAAAGATGAAAAGAGTGCAGAATTTCTGAAAGCTATATTGCAAATACGGAAAACCCCAAAGGAAGCGATCATCTTAAGTAGAAAGGCATCTGGTATAGCGGTTAAGGGCCCAAATGGTGGTAGCAGATTACCTGGCTTCAAAATCCACCCTTTCTACTCATTAACTATGTTACCTTCAGCAAATTTCTCACACTCTTTTTGCTTTCTATTTCTCAAACCTAAAAAGTTACGATAATACTTGATTTAACTAAGGAGCTCTTAGGATGATTTGTAATAGTAAATACTAATCCTAGTGCCTCAAAAATAGTAAATTCTGACATAGTAATAGGTGACCATTATTTTTATGTATTAGTATTTTATTATAATAATTTTTTGGGAAAAGGAATATTTCCCACAAGAATAAATCCCCCACACAAACACACTAGACTTGCCCCTAGATCGAAGAAGTAGTGGGCTAGAAAAGAAACAGATATATCATTTAATTAACGAAATAGCCTGTGGAAAAACTAATTCACTGCTCTCCGAAAAACTAACTCCAGTTGACCATAAAATAAAACCACCTATATAACAGTGCAAGTCTGACTTAGGAGACTTCTGAATGGACATAGAGCTAGAGAGGGGATGTGTTACTCTGTTGTACATTGCTTTAAATTTCTTTATACACCTGAGGCTGCATAGTTTATGAAGAAAAGAAGTTTATTTGGCTCACAGTTCTGCAGGCTGTACAAGCATGGGATCAGCATCTGCTTGGCTTCTGGTAAAGTCTCAGGGAGCTTATAATCATGGTAGAAGGCAAAGGGCAAGTGGTGTATCACATGGCAAAAGGGAGCAAGAGGAGAAGAGGAGGTGTCAGGTGACTTTAAACAGCCAACTCTCATATAAACTAACAGATTGAGAACTGTATTAGTTCATTTTCATACTGCTATAAAGAACTGCCTGAGATTGGGTAATATATAAAGGAAAAAGTTTTAATTGACTCACAGTTCAGCATGGCTGGGTAGACCTCGGGAAACTTACAATCATGGCAAAGGCAAAGGGGAAGCAAGGCACCTTCCTCACAAGGCGGCAGGAAGGAGAAGTGAGTGTGAGCAAGGGAAATGCCAGACACTTAAAAAACCATCAGATCTTGTGAGAACTCACTCATTATCACCAGAACAGCATGAGGGAAGCTGCCCCTATGATCTAATCACTTTGGGTGCCTCCATTGACACATGGGGATTATGTGGATTAAAATTCAAGATGAGATTTGGGTGGGGAGAACTCACTCATTACCATGGGGAGGGCATCAAGCCATTCTTGAGAGATCCACCTCCATGAACCAAACAGCCCCTGCTAGGCCCACCTCCAATAGTGGAGGTCACATTTCAACATGAGACTTGGAGAGGACAAAACATCCAAATCGTATCAGGAGAGCGAATGCCCTGGTAACTGACACCGACCCTCATCTCTAGAAGACATGTTACCTTTATGCCATAATGCAGTGATTGAAAGCTCATATGTCAAAAGGGCTTGACAGATGAACATCACTGAAATGAGTAGGGTTTAAATGATGGGAGTGATGGAGACTATGACAAACAGGAGCACATGGAAAGGGCAGACTTGACTTAGTTCTAGCCAGTTGTTGCCATGCAAAGACACAGACTCTTATTTGCTAAATTTTTATATTTTTCAAGAAAAAATAAAATCTCTAATTTCATATAAAATGTTCCAATTTTCACATTAGTCAGTGGTTTGTGACCTCTGAAGGAAAATGGACTATGCCACAAGAATTTCCCCATCCTTCTTACTCATTCAAATCTTCTTTTATTCCCAAAACAGTAAGATACTCACTCAGGCTTAAGAAAGATACACAAGCTACTATTAGTGCTGAGCATAATTCTCATCTATATAAACAAACAAACAAACAAACAAGAAGCACCAAATATTTGATGAAAAAAGACAGGTGATACCAAACCTTACCAAGAGAAAAGGTAACTTCTGATGAAACTTTATTATTTTTGAAAAAGAAAATCTTCAATAAGTATAATTACTTAAATGGACTTAAGTATAATTAATACAGCCAGAGGTTTAGAGTATTACAAAGAATCAAAAGAAGATGTAAATGGAGGAAGAGAAGAAGGAGAAAGATGAAAATAAGGAGAAGGAGAAAAGTGAGAAGAGGCTGCTATGAAAAAGAAGCAATGAGAATATTTGGAAATTTTTTATATTATTTCCAAAGTCAAGAGACCAATAGATAGAGTAGTAAAACAAATCCAAGTAGAAGATTAATTATTTGAGCTGGAAAAACAAACTCAGGGATAATCATCAAACACAATACACAAAAGATAAAAAGTTGAAAAATTTGTGAGAAAATATTAAAGGTAGAGAATTCTATCTGAGAAGTCTGCAAGAAGACTAATAGGGGCTTCAGAAGAAGACAGAGAGAAGACAGGGGAAGACATAGACTCCTGAAGAAAATTTCCTTGAGCTAAAAGACGTTAAACTTTAAATTGAAAGAATCCTGTATGGAATTAAGATAAAGAAGCTTACCTAGACATATCTTGGTGAAATTTCTGAATTCCAAAGATACAGATAACATGTTAATACAATTGAGAAAAACAAAACATATTTTTTCTATAATATGTACCATATTTATTAACGGATACTAAAAAAAAACAGAAGTATGTCATTAAACTCAACTGTCAGGAAAAATTAAAGACATTCTTTGAAAATTTATGATATATAAACTGTTCTCAAATAACTTCTTGAGAATGTATTCAATATTGCACTTCACAAAAATAAAAACTAAATACAAGAAAAAGACATGATTCAAGAATATAGACATGTACCATATAAAAATAGTAATATAGATCCAAATGTTTGCTTTTTAAACACATGGAATGTGAAAATACAAATAGCTTTGCCTAAAATTTAAGATAAATCTGTAGAAAGAAAATAATAATAAAAGGCAGAGAAGGAGGAGAAAATTAAGCTTAACTAAAGGATGACACCAAAAAAGATGGCAGAAATAAATTCAGTGATCAATAAACATAAAAAATGTGAATGGGTTATATTCTGCCACAAAAATAGAGACTGTCACATTGGATTCCAAACTACTAATCCAGCCATAGATTGATAATGAGATAGTTAAAACTAAATGACACAGATAGATTAAAAATAAGATAAAAAATATATAGAGAGAGTTATACATATGAAGTGATATAGATACATACAGATGATATAGAAGATATAGATATAAATATAGATGATATATAGATATCTATATCTCTATAGTGAGGATAGATCTGTCTCTATATATAAGATTATATATAAGATTGTACATAAGATTTAATATATAAGATTATACATAAGATTATATATAAGATTATAATATATAAGATTATACATAAGATTATATATAAGATTATATAGATAATATGTGCAATCCAGATGGATAGATGAATCTTCAGACAAATCTTTACTTTCTCCCCAGAAATGTAGCTGTAACAAAATAGAATTCAATGTCTGGAAATTATTTGAAATGATAAGAGAAACAATTCACCAAAAAATTACAAGGAGTTACATATTTTATATACCAAAAAATTAACATCAAAATATAACACAAAATTCTAGAAGTATAAGGAAAAATTTACAAGTCAAAATTTATATAGAGAGGTAGATTTTGCATATGTCTCCAAGTATGGTTACATCAAATACACAAAAATTAGGAGAAAGGAGATTTTAAAAAGTTAACTTATAAGCATAATATCAAATAAAGAAAATATTTTCTCATCAAGCAGAAAATGCACATTATTTATGTAGGAATAAAACTTTCAAAGATTGCTCACAAAACACCTAATTTCCAAAAATACAAATCATAGAAAACTATAATTTTCATCATAATGCAATAAAACTAGAAACTAACAACTAAAAGATAAACCAAAATACTTGTGCATTTGTAAATTTATAATTTTAAGATGCTCCTCTTGTTTCTGATCATCTGTCTTTTACATTTTTTAATTACAGGAAATGCTTACGAGTTGAAACAAAATCTATTTTGGCATTGATTCTTAACACTGGAAGAAGTCTTTTTAAAAACATTTAAAGCTCAGATCCTAGCCCCTGGAGCAGCAGTATTTTCAAAAATTCTCCCAGGTGATTCTAAAATGCAGTAGATAAGCGTTCTTTGAGAAACCTCCAAACTGCTCTCTACAGTAGCTGAACTAATTTACATTCCCACCAACAGCGTATAAATGTTCCCTTTTCTCCACATCCTTACCAACATCTGTTATTTTTTTACTTTCAATAATAGCCATTCTGACTGGTGCAAGATTGTTATCTCATTGTGGTTTTAGTTTGCATTTCTCTGATGATTAATGATGTTGCACATTTTTCATATATTTGTTGGCCTCTTGCACATCTTCTTTTGAGAAGTGTCTGCTCATGTCCTTTGCCCACTTTTTAATGCAGTTATTTTTTTTTCTTTTTGATTTGTTTAAATTCCTTATAGATTCTGGATGTTAGTCCCTTGTCAGATGCATAGTAAACAAAGTTTTCTATAATGCCATTCTGTAGGTTGTCTGCTTACTCTGTTGATAGTTTCTTTCCTTGTGCAGAAGCTCTTTAGCTTAATTAAGTCCTGATTGTCAATTTTTGTTTCTTTTGCATTTGCTTTTGAGGTCTTAGTCATGAACTTTTTGCCTAGACCTATATGTCCAGAAGAGTTTTTCCTAGGTTTTCTTCTAGGATTTTTATAGTTTGAAGTTTTATATTTAAGCCTTTAATCCATTTTGAGTTAATGTAAATTAATTCAGTCCCTGTGAAAAGCAATATGTGCATTTCTCAAAGAATGAAAAACAGAACTACCATTTTGACCCAGCAATCTCACTACTGAGTATCTATCCAAAAGAAAGAAATCATTCTACCAAAAAAACAGCTGTATTAGTATATTTATTGCAGCACTGTTCACAATAGCAAAATCATGGAATCAATCTAGGTGCCCCTCAATAGTGTTAGCTATGAGTTCTAAATTTCTTTTCAAAGAATCAATATGTCAGTATGTTCACTTCTTTGCCTTCTACTTTTAAATTTAACTTCCTCATAAAGCAACCTTTTTCGATTACCTGCTCCCCCCTGACTCATTTCAATCACCTGCTCCACCCTGACTCATTCTAATTACTTGCTCCACCCCCATTCCGATTACCTACTCCACCCTGACTCATTCTGATTACCTGCTCCACCCTGACTCATTCCATTACCTGCTCTGTCACAACCGTTTTTCCCGCCAAACCACTCACCCCATCACTCTCTTTAAATTAGCCAATCGGAATTAGTTTAGCCCGTGCAGTTTAACCCTAGCCAACAGGTAAAGGACACAGCAGCAGAGGCCATGTGCATCAGGGATAAGAACTCCTTCCCCTCCCTTGTCCAAATGTGTGCTCATCATTGCTCCATCTGTAAGGGTGCACCCTTCTATAGAAGTACCTTGCCTTGCTGAGAATTAAAACAAAATTTTATATTCGAGTGCTATTTCTTTTGCAGCACTGAAACTTTATATATAACAATAGTAAATGGAATAAAGAAAATGTGGTATATACATACCATAGAGTACTATGCAGCCATAAAAAAGAATGAAATCATGTCCTTTGCAGCAACATGGATGCAGCTGGAGGTCATTATTCTAAGTGAATTACCACAGAAACAGATAATCAAATACCACATGTTTTCACTTAAAAGTGGTAGCTAAACAATGGGTGCATATGTACATAAAAATGGAGGCAATAGATAACTCAGAATTCCAAAAGGGGGAAGGGAAGGAGAGGGACAAGGATTGAAAAACTACTTATTGGTTACTATGTTCACTATTTGGGTAATGTGTTCAATAGAAATCCAAACCCCAGAATTACACAATATATTCACGTAGCAAACTTGTATATATACTCCCCTCAATCCAAGACAAAAAGAAAAAGCAAAGAAAATGCAGTGTATTTTGAGAAGCATTCACTTATTCAATAGCCACTAAACAATTTGCTATGTGGGATTGAAGCTCTGCGGAGGGGCCAACTAGAGATCACAGATTTGGTAGATAGGAGTAGCAAGTCAGATGCTAAGGGCTGAATTCATCTGGCAGAGCCTTTTATTTGGCCCAGCATGGTGGGGTTTGTTGTGGAGTTTTTTTCTTAGGTATAACATTAAATGTCTTTAGGCATTTACAGTTTGCCACAGGCCCTATCATTTCCTATTGCTTGCACTAATCCACTTCACGTATTTAATTACCTGGCTGCCCCCTGTTGTAAAGGGTAGTTAAAATCATGACAGTATGTCAGATAACCCAAAGGAAAAAGAAAAGGCCATAGAGTCCTGCAAGTACTTTATATAAATAGGCAGTGGAAGGGAACTCTGGGGAAAGAAAATCAGAAGGAAAGGTAGAAGAGATAAGAGGAGAAATCAAAAAAGGACTGGCAAGTCATTAAATGAAATTAATATGGATCAATGCCTATACATACAACTAGAAACTTTAATTTAGTGGTTATTTTATAGATCTCAGTGCCATCACTGTTTGGAAGGGTTGAAAGGATAGGGTTGATAAAATTATATTGTACATATTTATGTATTACACAACAGGAATAGGAAAAGTTTGCAAAGTCATAAATTGAGTCCATGATGAATCTTTGACTGAATGCTTTACAACTCACAAATAAGATCTGTAAGTTTCTACCTTAAAATAAAGTGATTTGACAAGATGTAACTTTTATCACCAACTTTATCTTTGTCCTCAACAGCAGCAGCCACCTGCTTAGTTGGATGAAAGGAGCATGCTCTCTATTTCATGTCTAATTAATACTTTCTTGCTTAGAGATTGTTGAAGAGCATGCCAGTTAGTGTTACCACCCACCAACTGAATTTTCACACAGTTTTAGACAGCATGGAAAAGACAATAAGTTCTGGAATGTCATTCCTGTTTGATCGAACTCTTTTTTTAGTTTGTAATAAGAAAAATTATCAAATATCCCTAAACACTTATAAACTTTCCTATAATAAATCTAGGGAAAAAACACAAGTTGCAGAAAGAACATGAACTCAAATACATGGAAAATCAGATATATACATTCTTTTTAATACCTTGAATATCAGTTTCTTGAGGTCAAGAACTGGTTAGATTCATCATTGTATCTATACTGCTTAGCATAATCCCTAATACATAACTAATATTTATTGTTTATTATTATTAATGTATTTACTGTGCTAAATGAAATGTTGGCCAAAAAGTAAAAACAATTGTGAGCTATTGTGTCTGAATACCCAATGACCAGGAAATTATTTTAGAAAGGATTCTGTAGAGGAGACAAATATTCAGCACCCCTCATTTCACTTCTAACCTCCACCTATCCTAGGCTTCAACCACATGGATGTGCAAGACTCTCATTTGCATGCATTCTTACCTTTGTTTATACTACTTCTACACATTTAATCCACACCAGTCACATCAGGCAATTCCCACTTGTCAAGAATAGGTCTGTGGGAGGGCATGTCACCCAAATCTGAAATGAAATGCAAGGTAGCCAATGAAATATATGGCAGCCACGCTGGAAATTTTGAGAAATATTTTCCTTCCTTGCAAGACAGAGAGGCTGAAGAACAAAGACTTTTTCCACTCTATTTCCTTGCTGAATGTAAAACTGTTATGTGCAGAGATAATTTCTGGATTATCAGCAGCTATGTGATCAGAAGGAGCAATATCGCCAACACTGCAGACAGTGGGGCAGAAACAGAGAATCGTGTCCTCGGTAATGTTACTGAGCCAGTCACTGAAACAATATGGAGACTGCCTAACTCCAGACTTCCTGTTATACTAACAAGAACTATCCTTGTGGCTTAAATTATTGCTAGTCAAATGTTGTTTCTTTCACTAAAACATTCCAACCAAATATCATACACTGTGGCAAAAACATTTATTGCCTTCCAACACCATTCTACCATTGCCTACTTTGCAAGAAAAGAGGCAATCCCACTATGAAGCCAAAAACGTCAGACTTGCTTTCTCATCTTCACTTGCTTGATAAAGTACATAAGTCGTCCTAATCTGTCACTCCTGAGGAAAGGGTTATGGGATATTTCTTGTTAAGATTTTCTCCTTCCTAAAAGAGATGCACAAAGAGAAGCCTCCATTCCTTTCTTACATTTTAACGTGACATGTGAATATGTGAGCTCAAAGCTACAGCAACTACTGTGATCATGAGTGGAAATCTAACAAAACTACATAGAAGCCAACTAAGAGCCCGGACACCTTTGAGCAGTTGAACCAATACTGGAATCACCTCTCTTGCTCTGTATTTGTGGTTATGTGAACAAAATAAAACCCTAAATAAGCCACTTTTAGTTGGGCATTATGTTATTGTAGGTGACAGAATTCAACTGAAACACCCACCTAATAGAGTTGTTGTGAGGAATTCAGTGAGAAAATTCACGTAAAGTGCTTAGCACAGGGCCTGTTTAAAATAAATAAATAAATACTAAGGAACATTAGTTAATATTACTAGCTTTAGTAGGTATATATTATGTCTGCCTAGACTCTTTTCTTCATCTGATACCATCAGTCTCCCTATTTTGAGGAACAGCTCTCCCTTTTTTCCACTTCAATCATATAATCTAATTGGGAACTGCCTGCCTTCTTCCAATCAAATCCAAATTCACAAGTCCCACTCTTAGTCTAGGAGTGGAACTAAGCGCCAAGCTGAGCTAAGTATCATGTTTTGTCACACTGGTTTCATTCATCGGTCCAGTAATTGACATATGTTTATCCAGAAACTCCAGGCATTCATGGTTTTAGCCACCCGGGGAAAGCCTGGCTGAGAGGATAAAGCCAACACACTGGGAAAAATGGTAGATAATAAAAACAGCCTTATTGTATTCAAGCCCCTGTTTCCAGTCCTCAGGTCCCACAGCTGCCCTGGTTATTGCCTTACTGAAGTGTGGATATAGCCACCTCCATTCTGTGAGTTACCCAGTATCCTCTTAGCATGTTAATAAAAATTGAGTGTCTGTAACTTGATACCATTAGAATTCTGATTAATACATTGTTCTCTACCTTATGAAATCCTACTCATGGTTTATCTAACGTCAACCACCAGCCCTATTCGTGTAACAAATATCTATTCAGAATCTACAGTATGTCAGTCACTGTAAGAAACACTACAGACATGAAAATGAGAAAGACGTAATCTTTGCCCTCAAGCTGCTTACAATCTTCAGAGACATACATGTGTCAAGATGATTACCGAGAAACTTATAAAGTACTTTAAAGAGCTGTGGAAATGGAGTGATGGAAGCAGGTAAGAAGGCTGTTTAATCTAGCCTAGGACAGGGATCCAGGGGCTAAGGAATAATTTCCCTGATGGGATGACAACTGGTAGGACTTTACAAGGACAAATAGAATTTAACTAGGGGAGCTTAATCAGGGAAGTGACTGGATCAGTATATGTAGAATCATCAGAACTTAGTGCCCAACAGAGCAAGGGGCTGAAACAAAGTTTAGTTTGAAAACTTTGATTGACTCTTGGCTTCATCACTAACTTGGGAACCACATGGGAAAAAAGAGGAGTACCTTCTGGGGGACAAGAAGATAAATTATGGACACAATGAGTTTCAAGTAACTTTGAGACATTCAAGTGGAGGTAGTAAGAACTCTGATATACGGGCTGGAACTAAATTTTTAAAAAGAAGCTTGGCCTAGAAATATATATTAAAGAGTTATCAGCATATAGATGACAATTGGAGCAATGAAAGTGAATGGCATTGTGAGAAGAGAATGTGTAGGACAGAAAAGTTCCAAAAATGGAACCCTAGGGAGCATGTAATGCCTTGAAAACCAATAGAGAAGAATGTTAAAAAGAGAGTGGTCAATGATTCATTCCCAGAGAAAGAGAGAATAAATTAAAATTGGTACTAGAATATGTCCTTTAAATTTAGCAACAACCTTGATAACAGTAGGTTCAGTTTGTAGAATATGATTATATGGATTGAAGAATGAATAAGAGGTATATAAGTGTGAATGAGATTGTAAATTACTGTTACTATTTTGAGACGTTTAGTTATCAACAGGAGGAGAAAGATCAGGAAGTAACTAAGTCAATTTTGTGGTTTGTTTATTTAATATGGGAACAATGCTTGAACATGTTTATATGTTTAGAGGAAGACTCATTAAGGAAAATAAAAGACAAGTCAAAGAAAATAGGGCAAGAATACTGAGGATGAAGATGATACCAACAGGCGTAAGATTAAGCTGGATCCAGACATTCCTCCACTCAAACCTTAAAACTGTCTACAAGGTCCTACATTATCTTGTCCCCAGATCCTCCCGATTATACCTCTTGTTTTATACTCTCTGTTGTTCACTCTGCTTCAGACACACTGGTTTCTTTGCTATTCTCAAACATGCCAAGCACATTTCAGCCTCTGAGATTTTGTACATTCTCTTTTCTGCTCCTAGAAAGAACTTCTCTAGATCTGCATGGCTCCTTCTCTATCTTTCTTCAAGTCTCTGCACAAATATCATCTTGTCAGTGAGGCCTTCCATGACTTTTCTAGTATATAAAGTAACAATTCCCTTGTTCCTATACTCTGCAGCACTCTTAACTTGCTTGATATTTTTCCGTAGCTCTTACCACATCCTGACATGTGCTTATAAAAATCTGCTTATTTATTTGCTTTTTGTCTGTCCTCCCCTAAAATATTTACTCCAAAATGAAAGCTAAATTTATTTCCTATACAATATTTCTAGTGTCTAAACAATGGTTGGTTCTCAATAGGTAGTCTAATGTTACTTAGGCAAAAAATTAATTGAGGAAAAGGATGAGCAGAGAGTGTAAGCTAGAGTAGAAGAGAGTGGAACCATAGGGGAATGTCTGATGGAGAGAAAAGGAACAAGTAAAGAGGCCAAACAGCAGACTTCCCAAAATGGAGAGACTCAAGACGATTTGTGTGACAAGGGGTTATGCTAGAGTTTAAAGTACTAGGGCTTAAGATCTCAGAATGCATGCCAAACTCCATGCATTGGCTTCCAAAGTGAGTACTGGAAAGTGGATTCCTGAGACATGGTGAAGAAGTTTTTTGGAGCTCAGGCAGCCAGAAAGTTTTTATGCTATGGTGTCAGATGTGTCATGGTTGTGATAGTAAAATTTTTCTGGTGTAATGGCAAGAAGTGCTATGAAGAAGCAGACAGTGAGTAAGATTCCTTGATGGACTAGAGATGCCTAGGGAATAAACGGTGATAACAAGGGGCAATGTGGAGGATGGGGGCAGAGAGTGGTGGAGATGCAGGCATGCAAGACAGAATTAAGGCAAAGTGAGTTTAGTTGGCCTGGATTCTCAAGAAAAACACAAGCTGGTAATATCAACAGCTGATGAAGCTAACAGTTTTATAACCAGTATCAGCTCTCTAAACATTTCTTTTTAAGTTAAAAAAAAAAAAAGAAAAAGGATGAGGTGATTTTTTTAGTGCTCATACAGATAGAAAGAATCCAGTGAAACCTGTATGTAATGAAGAGTCTGACTTCACATTTTGATGTTTGACTGCTAACTGCTTTTAAGCCACATCCCTCTCTCTTCCCCTTGTGACCCTCATCTGGGCAAGCTCATGAGTGCGCCTGGGTGCTCCCTCCTTGGTGCTGGCAGGAAATCCAAACCGAGTAAGTTCCTGACCATGCACAAGCTCAGGGACCCTCAGTCTGGCCCTATCCCCTCCCCACCATAAAACCCCAAGCTAGTCTCTTGTCCTTGCTGTCACAAGCCATATTCTGAATAGCTCAGAAAGCCTGCTCTGCTCTCCCAAAAAGCCTCGATATGTAAGTGATAAACCGTTTTATACCCTCTGTATGCGTGTGGCATCATTAGTCTTGACCTCCGACCCATGTTTTGGGTTGGTCTGTCCTGTTTCTGCAGTGTGTCCACAAAACACAACTGCTACAAAGGAGACTGTTCAGGGAAACCCTCACTGATCACATCAGACAGAATTAGTCACTCCTTACTTTATGCTCTTATTTATGTTTATTTATATCCTTAGTGTTCACTACAGTCTAATATTTATTATAATTGACTGTGTATGTATCTATCACTCACATTAAGATTCCTGAGGATAAAAATTGTATCTTATTTATCTCTGCATTCTCTAGAACTTTATATAAAATATGCTTAATAAATATTTGATTTATTGAATTTTTCAGGAGGTACAAGGACAAAGTGGCATTCCCTTGGGATATTAAAAGTCTCTGTTTTGATCTGAAGCTTTAAAAACACCTCCTGAATATATTCTGTCTCTCCTGGGCTCTCAGAGTTCATGATGTATCTGGAATCATGATATAAAAACAGCAAAACATAATATAAAGACCACTTTAAAAAGATCAATTCCTTCCAACTCGCTTCCATTCCCCTTATGGAATTACTAAACACAGGCTTAGTTGAAGATATCAGAAAGTTCATTCATTTTCTGTAAGAGCTATGAGAATGCTCATAAAACTGGTTTTGAATGAGAACCCACCCATCTGTTTTATGCTGTTTTTCAGGCAGTTAGCCTAATTAAGCCTCCTAGGCAGGTTAGAGTCCCCCTGTGGAAACTAAATTGACTTTAAATACAGAATTATCTCAAAATCTATGAGCTTTTGATTGATATCACAGTTAATTTTGACAATTGAAGTGGCTTCCTGCTTCTTTTCACTTTAGGAAGATGAATAATTATGGAAATGACCTCATTAACTCTTTGATGCCATTCATTGAAATTTATAGAAGTTATTATGCCTAAACTCAAGACCTAGAAGAGAAAAATAATCAGTCTATTAGGCATATTTGCTTCAAATTTTTATCTAGTTTTACTTTACTGTCATACCCATAGGCACTGTCAGAAATGTTAAATTGTGTGTCCAATGATACAAGAGATTAAGAAAAAAAAAAAAAAAAACTCCATTCAGATGAATATGGCCCTCACCAGTAAAGAAAATCAAAAGTATTTCACCACAAAATATTATTGTTTTACATATTTTGAGACAGCTATTCAGAGGGACTGCAGACAGGAATCACCCTGCAAAGCTGCCTTTTGTGGAGGAGATTTGCATATGTAGAGAAAAGTCTACATTAGCAAAATAAACAGCCAGGCTTTCTCTGAAGCCTCTCACTTGTCCAAATCTAGGAAAGATTAACTGACCACAGGCTACCATCTATTCTTTCTCAGAGCAGTTATCTGTGAGGTTTCATCTACATAACAAGACCGCCTTTGCTAGCCATGTCTCTACTCCTCTCTCCCTCTCACAACCTTTCTTGACACACTCCAAGCCCCCATTCCTCAAAATGGTATAAAATCATCAACCATCTGGGCCTTTTTTTGAGTTTTTATATTTTGTATGGCTCCCATGCACAAACATGCACATTAATAAATTTCATATGCTTATTTTCTTATGAATCTTCCTTTTGTCAGTTGATTTTTAAAGAACTTCAGAGGGCAAAGGGGAACTTTTTCTTTGGCCCCTACACAAGTACAGGACCTTCTACACCTCAAAATTTCCTTTTTTAAATCTCAGATTGGCAGCAGATTTCATCTTTTGTGTTCTCATATCATCTCAGTCTGGATAAGCAAGCGTTCAATCACCATAATAGAATTTTTACTCTGAAGAAAGGGGCACATTATGAGCCATCAAAAAATAATAATAAATGCCATTGGCAAAAAATAAAATATTTCCCAGAGTTCATTTCAAATAGTCAGAAAAGAGTGGATTAAACTAGGAATTTAGCCTAAATGTTGCAACTGAGGTTATTTTCTATGCAACACTGTGTCTTCTAGGTTCACCAAGGCTGAATTGTTAAAACTCCTTCATATACTTTCATTCATTTTCTAACACTTTGCAGATAAATGTACTTATTTTACTTTTTGTGAAATACGGAGGATCAAAATGACTTAAACAAGAACTCTCACACATCATTTATCATCCTCAATTTCCTCATTTATAAAATAATATCAACAATAATATTAGCTCAGAAAGTTACAGGAATGATCTCAGGTGATTTCAGTGCATGTGAAAATACTTTTCACATGGGCAAATTACTAAGGCAATATTTGTTATTTAAAATTAAAATGAACACCAGGCTTATTTGTCCATTGGATGCCTGGATCCTTCAAAGTACAACTAGAAAAAGAGGAAAAATTTTTGAAGTAGAATTTTAAAGTGTGGGATTCTTTTAAACTTTATTCTAACAGAAAGTTCCTTATCCTATTTGAGCCTCATCTCTACAAGAGAAGCCAGGGAGTTATGATCACTGTGATAGACTGCAAAATTGACCCAAATTCTTTACTCCTTCCTGAATCCAAGCCATTTGTCCTGGTGATACCTTTCCAAGATGCCTCTGAGTAGAGCTATGCAACCTGATTTTGCCAATGGAATGACACAGAAGCCATGATGTGCCAACTCTGAGTCCAGGCGGCTACAGACCTAGCATGCTTCTGCGTGCTCTCTAGCAACCCTGTCATCACTCTGAGAACATGCCCAGGCTGACCTGCCACAGGTTGACAAATATGTGGTGCAGAGCCCAGTCACCCAATTTGTCTCATCCTAGTCTCAGCCACAGCCAACCAACACCCAGCTGGGTTGAGCAAGAGGAGCCCCGTGAAAATCAGCACAGCTGCCTAGTTGCTGGCCCTAGATGCATGAGCCAGAAATGGCTATTGTTATTTGCTACGAAACTGTTGTGACTACTTGTTATCCAACAATAGTACAGTGATAGATAACTGATACAGTCACCGTCTTCCTGGGGAAAATCCTAGCATTACTATGTAACTCAAACAAAATCATGTGAGAAACATTGTTTTAAAAATATAAAACTTCTTTCAAATGTATAATTGATAGAGTTATATGAAAACTCTATCATACTAAAAGTCTAGATAAGCATTTGCAACAATTCCCTAGTATATATAGGGTATATTAAGTTTTTATAGTGCAGTTTTATACAATTTTAAAACTTATTTATTCATGTAGGGAAAGTCCAGAAAGACTTCAATTCAGAATTTCAGTAAAAACATAATAAAATTAGCTACAAAATTATTTTATAAAACTATTATTTAATTTTGGATTTAAAAAATCTAGAGAATGATTGCCTCTTTAAGTCATCCTTAAGCAAGGGTACATGTATACAATTCTAGACACTGGTCTGCCATTCTCTTCAAAATCTTCTGAGAAGGAAGTCTACATTTACTTGCATAATTATGTCAGAATTCAACAATTCTTTCTTTTACAGATATTACCAAATCATTATTTCAATTTCTTCAGAATTCATGAGGACCTTCAAGATGGCTGACTAGATGCATCTGACACTCACCTCTTCCATGGAAGGGAAACAAAATAGTGAGTGGATAAGCACACTATGAATAGATCATCTAAGAGAGAACACTGGAATTCAACACCGAAGTGACAGGAAGCACCCAAAGCAGGAAAGGAGAGGCGAGCAAGGCAGCCTGCTCAACCAGCATTGGTGGAGAGCCTGGAGAGACTTCCTAATGTTAGGAAGGGTAAGTGAGAAAGAGACCTCCAGCAGTCCACATTTCCACTACAATTTGAGCCATGAGAGAGCCCCTCAACCCTCACAGGCCCCAAAACTAACAGGGAGCTGCCTGGACTCCATGTAATGACATTGCTCCAGAGAGGGAGCTCATGCTGAGTCCCACAAACCCACGAATCCTAAATAGCTGCACCAGGGCACCATTTGAGACTCCAACCTCCACCAGACTATATTACCTTGGAGCCCCAAGGTAATATCTATATCCCTGGAGCCCCATCAACATTGCCTGCCCACAGCAGCTGCTACCCGGGCAGAGTTGGGACCCACTAGCAGTGACTCTGCCCCACTAGCAGAGAAGCAGCTGTGACTTTCCACATGCCCTGGGGACAAATTCAACTACCCACAACAGCCACCACTGTAGGCTGCTATGGGGCTGAGATATGAGCAAAGTACATGCTGCCCAAGTTGCCTACCTACAACTGCTCCTGCTGAAAGAAACCCTACCCTCTCTAGAAGCAGGGCACTGGAGCATTCCACAAGCAGTCTGGGGATTACTCTTCCCCATGCTTACAACCCCTTTACCTACATATATCACAGGAGGGCTTCAGGGCAGGACCACCTAGCCTGGCTCCATTGTCTCCAGTACCAGAGCATGCTATCTAGGGGTTTGGAGTCGTGCAACCAATTCACTATCATTGGCACCTGAGCACTCTTCTGGGGATCTGAGGTCAGACCCATTCAACTTGCTAGTGCCATCATAGTTGGTATCCACCTATATGTGCCACCTGGGGACTGACTGGCCCACCCAGCCTGTCACAGCCACAGCCAAAACCAGTGCAGACTGCTTGGGTCCCAGAAGGTTGTCTCATGACTGCTAATGTCATTGCCCATGCCACACCTGTTGGCCAGGAGCTAAAGAGTCAGCCCACCCACGTGCCCCACCACTGCCATTTCTGGGGCCTAAGCAAGCCACCTAGAGGCCCAAGAATCAGCATGTCTAGACCCACTAATGCTGATAACCAACATATGCCACTCTGGGGCCCAAGGACAGGCATGCTCAGCCCCCTGCTGCCACCACTGGGAACTGAAGACTGGCCTACCTGGTGTCTCAGGCCCCAGCAAAACCTCACCATAGCCTCCACAAACAACTGCACCTAAGCCACCTAGGGAATCATAGGCAGCACTGATGGAGTTTACAACCAAAGAAAGCATATAGAGCCAACCCTACTGCACAGACCCAAAATCAAAGCCAAAGTGCCTTATCCAACCAACATCATAGATATACCTTCAGGAAAAAAGTCTTCGCTTATGAAATCAAATTCAAAAAATTTACAGAAACAATTGTTACACCAGATGCACAGATTATCAACGGAAGAACATGGGAAATAATAAAAAGCAAGAAAATATAATACCATCAAAGGAACACAATAATCCTCCAGCAACAGATCCCAATCAAAAACAAATTTACAAAATCCCAGAAAAAGAATTCAAAATACTGATTTTTAAAAATTCAGTGAGACACAAGAAAATACTGGAAAACAACACAAAGAAATCAGAAAAACAATTCAAGATATAAATAAGAAATTTATCAAATACATGGGTATCATCAAAAAAGAACCAAAAGAAATTATGGATTGAATAATTCATTGATTGAAATGCAAAATACATTCAAAACCATCAACACTAGACTAGATCAAGCAGAAAAAGGAATGTCAAAACTTGAAGACAAGTCTTTGAAATAACCCAGTTAGACAAAAATAAAGGAAAAAAAGAATAAAAAAGAATGAGCAAAGCCTACATGACATATGAACACCATAAAATGACAAAATATTCAAATTTTCAGTCTCCCAGAAAGCAAAAAGAAAATAAAAGTGTTAAAAACCTACCTAACAAAAAATAAATGAAAACATCCCAACTCCAGCAAGAGATTTAGACATCCAAATAAAGGAGGCCAAAAAATCTTCAAATAGATGGAATTCAAAAAGGCCTGCTGCATGACATACTATAGTCAGACTATTAGAAGTCAAAGACGAAGAATGAATTCTAAAATCAGAAAGAGAAAAGTATCCAGTTATTTATAAAGGAATTCCCATCAGACTAACAGTAAATTTCTCAGCAGAATCTTTATAGTCTTGGAGAAAATGAGGTGATATATTGATATATTCAAAATGCTAAAAGAAAAAATCTGCTGTGCAAGGATACTATACCCAGCAAAATTACCCTTCATAAAGGAAGGAGAAATAAAGTTCTTCCCAGACAAGTAAAACTGAGTGAATAACCCACTAGATTAGACTACAAGAAATGCTTAAGGGAGGCTGGGTTCAGTGGCTCACGCCTGTTATCCCAGCACGTTGGAAGGCCAGGAATGGAGGATCACTTGATGTTAGGAGTTCAAGACCAGCCTGGCCAACATGGTGAAATCCCATCTCTACTAAAAACACAAAAATTAGCCGGTCATGGTGTTGCATGCCTGTAGTCCCAGCTACTCTGGAGGCTGAGACAGGAGGATCCCTTGAAACCTGGAGGCATAGGTTGTGGTGAACCATGACTGCACCACTGCACTCAAGCTTGGGTGACAAAGTTAGACAACATCTCAAAAAAAAACAAAAATGCTTACGGAAGTCTTATACCCAAAAGCAAAAGAATGATATCAACCATCATGAAAACACAAAAATATAAAAAGCACTGGGAGAGCAAACACACAAAAAAGAAAGAAAAAAGACTCAATGTTACCACTACAGAAAATCACCAAACCACAATAATAAATAATAAGAGAGAAAGAAAGAAACAATATAGAAGACAAATGGGAACCATTAATAAAATGATAGGAAAAAGCCCTTGCATATCAATAATAACCTTAAAAATAAACTGATTAAACTTTCTACTGAAAAGATATAGACAGGCTGAATTTTTTAAAAAATCATCCAACTATATGTTTTCTGCAAGAAATTCACCTCACCTATAAAGACACCTATTGGCTGAAAGTAAAGGGATGGAAAAATATGGTTAATGGAAATCAAAACCAAAAGTGAACAGGAGTAGCTATATTTATATCAGATAAAATAGACTTTTAAAAAAGAGACAAGGAAGTTCATCTTATAATGATAAATGGATCAATTCAGCAAGAGGTTATAAGAATTCTAAACATATATACACCCAACACTGGAGCACCCAAATATATGAAGCAAATATTATTAGCTCTAAAGAGAGAGATAGACCCCAATACAATAATACTGGGGACTTCAACACCCTACTCTCAGCATTAGACAGATCACCTAGATAGAAAAATTAACTTAAAAATATTGGTTTTAAGCTGCATATTAGACCAAATAGACTTAACAAACATTTACAGAACATTTTATCAAACAACTATAGAATACACATTCTTATCAGCAAATGGAACACTCTCCAGGATAGATCGTATATTAGAAAACAAAACAAGTCTCAACGAATTTTAAAAAATCAAAATAATATGAAGTATCTTCTCAGACAACAATGAAATAAAAGTAGCAACCAATAATGAGAGGAACTTTAGAAACTGAACAAATACAGAAAAATTAAACAATATGCTCCTGAATGATCATTGGGTCAAGGAAGAATTAAGGAGGAAATCAAAAAATTTCTTGAAACAAATCAATAAGTAAAAACATAACCTAACAAAATGTATGGGATACAGCAAAAGCAGTGTTAAGAGGGACGTTTACAGCAAGAAATGCCTAAATCAAAAAATTAAAAAGATTCAAAATACATAGTGATGCACCTTAGGGACTAGAAAAGTAAGAATAAATAAAACACAAAATTAGTAGAAGGAGGAAGAAATAATAATAAATATCAGAGCAGAAATAAATGAAATAGAGACTTAAAAAAAACTCAAAAATTCAATGAAACAAAAAGTTGGTTTTTTTGAAAGATAGACAAAATTGTAGATAGATAAACCACTTGCTGCTAGACTAACCAAGAAAAAAAAATAAAACCCCAATAAACAAAATCAGAAAGGAAAAGGCGACATTACAACTGATACCACAGAAATGCAAGAGATCATCAGAGACTATTGTGAGCCAATATATACTAACACACTGGAAAATCTACAGGAAATTGATAAATTCCTGGAGACATACAACCTACCAAAACTGAATCACAAAAATATAGAAAATCTGAACAGACAAATAACTAATAATGGTATTGAATCAGAAATAAAAAGTCCCAAAAAAGAAAAGTTCAGACCCAGATGGCTTCGCTGCTGAATTATACCAAACTTTCAAAGAAGAACTAACATCAATTTCCTTCAAACTATTCCAAAAATAATAATAATAATAAATAAAAGGAAGAAAGTCTCCCTAACTCATTCTCTCAAGCCAGCATTACCCTAATAGCAAAACCAGACAAGGACACAACAAAAGAAAACTACAGGCCAATATTCTTGATGGACACAGATGCAAAAATTCTCAACAAAATACTAGCAAACCAATTCCAAGACCACATCAAGAAAGTAATACACCATGATCAAGTGGACTCTATCCCAGTGATGAAAAGATGATTCAACAAATGCAAATCAACAAATGTAATACACTGCATCAGTAGAATGAAGAAGAAATACCATATGATTATCTCAATAGATACAGAAAAGCATTTGTTAAAATTGGACGCTCCCTCATAATTAAAACTCTCAACAAACTAGGCATAGAAGGAACATACCTCAGCATAATAAATACAATATATGGCAAATCTATAGCTGACATCCTACTGAATGGGGAAAAGCTGAAAGCCTGTCCTCTAAGAACTGGAACAAGACAAGAATACTCACTTTCACCACTTCTATTCGACATGCTACTGGAAGTCCTAGTCAGAGCAATCAAGCAAGAGAAAAATAAAAAACATCCAGATTGGAAAAGAGCAAGTCAAATTGTCACTCTTTGCTGATGATATGATCTTATAGTAGGAAAACCTAAAGATTCCACTAAAAAACTCTTACATCTGACAAATTCAATATAGTTGCAAGATACAAAAATCAATGTACCAAAATAAGTACACCAATAATGAACTAGCTGAGAAAGAAATCAAGAAAACAATCCCATTTAAAGTAGCTACAAAAAATATTTACATCTACAAACAAATTTAAACAAGGAAGTGAAAGATCTCTCCAAGAAAAACTGCAAAATTCTCATGAAAGAAATTGAAGAGGACTCAAGAAGTATAAAACACAGCCTATACTCATAGATTTGAAGAATTAGAATCATTAAAGTGACCATATTACCCAGAGCAACCTAAGATTGAATACAATACCTATTAAAATATCAATGTCACTTTTCACAGAAGTAAAAACAAATTCTAAAATTTGTATAAAACCAAAAAAGAGCGAGAATAACCAAAGCAACACTAAGTAAAAAAAAAAAAAAAAAAAAAATAGCTGGAGGAATCACACTAGCTGACTTCAAAATATACTATAAGGCTATAGTAACTGAAACAACATGGTATTGGTATAAAAACAGACACATAGGTCAATGAAACAAAATAGAGCACCAGAAATAAATTCACGAATTTACAGCCAACTGATTTTTGAGAAAGGCACCAAAAATAGACATTGATGAAAGACACCTTCATCAATAAATGGTGTGGGAAAAATGGATATTAATTTGCAGAAGAAAAAACTGAACTCTGATCTCTCACAATATACAAAAATCAACTCAAGATAGAGTAAAGACTTAAACATAAGATCAGAAACTACAATACTACTAGAAGAAAACAGGAAAAACACTTCAGGACATTGCTATAGGCAAAGATTTTATGGACAAGACCTCAAAAGCACAGAAAACAAAAACAGAAAGAGACATAAGTTTCTGCACAGCAAAGGAAACAATGAACAGAGTGAAGAGAAAACCTGCTGAATGGAAGAAAATATTTGTAAACTATTAATCTACAAGGGACTGATATACAGAATATACAAAGAACTCAACTCATTGAGAAAAAACAAATAATCCCATTAAAAAGTAGGCAAAGTATACCTATGTAACAAAACTGCACATTCTGCACATGTACCCTAGAACTTAAAGCATAATAAAAAAGAAAAAAAAGGTAGGCAAAGGACTACTGAATAGATATTTCTCAAAACATGACATGCAAATGGGTAAAGGTATATTTAAAAATGCTCAACATCACTACTCATCAGGGAAATGCAAATCAAAACCACAATGAGATATCCTCTTACCCTGCCTGTAATCCCAGCACTTGAGGCAGGCGGATCATGGGGTCAAGAGATCAAGACCATCCTGGCCAACATGGTGAAATCCCATCTCTATTAAAAATAGAAAAATTAGCCAGGCATGGTGGTGTGTGCCTGTAGTCCCAGCCTACTCAGGAGGCTGAGGCAGGAGAGCTTGAACCTGGGAGGTGGAGGTTGCATAGAGCCGAGTTCACGCCACTGCACTCCAGCTTGGTGACACAGCGAGACTCGGTCTCAAAACAACAAACAAACAAACAAACAAAAGTAATAGATCCTGGTGAGATGCAAAGAAAAGGAAACATCTATATACTTTTGATGGAAATGTAAATTAATACAGCCACTATGGGAAACAGTATAGAGATTTCTCAAAAAACTAAACATAGGCCAGGCACAGTGACTCATGCCTGTAATCTCAGCATTTTGGGAGGCCAAGGCATGATGATTACCTGAGCCCAGGAGTTTGAGACCAGCCTGGGCAACAGAATTGAACCCTGTCTCTACAAATATTAGCCAGGCGTGGTGTCATGCACTTATAGTCTTGGCTGCTTGGGAGGCTGAGGGGCAAGGATCGCTTGAGCCCAGGAGGTCAAGCCTGCAGTTAGCCCTAACTGTGCCACTGCAGTCCAGCCTGGGTGACAGGAATCCTGTCACCAAAAAAAAAAGAAAAAAAAATTAGAACTAACATATGATTCAGCAATCCCACTACTGGGTATTTACAACTAACATGTTTCTTGTAGCACTATTCACAATAGCAAAGATGGAATCAACCTAAGTGTCCATCAACTGATAAATGGATAAAGAAAATGTGGTGTATGTATACACAATGGATTCAGTCATAAAAAGAATCAAATCATGTTATTTGCAGCAACATGGATGAAACCGGGAGGTCATGTTAAGAGAAATAAGTTAAGAGAAATAAGTCAGGCACAGAAAGACTAATATTGAATGTTCTTACTAATATGTGGGAGCTAAAAAGTTGATCTCTTGGATGTAGAGATTAGGATAACACTACTAGAGGCTGAGACGGGTGTATGGGTGGGAGTAGGTTATGAAGAGAGGTTGATCAATGGATAAAAACATGTAATTCAATAGAAGGTATAAGTTTTAATGTTCAGTCATGATTCATGGGCCTACCATCAGTGTTCAAGTGTTGGGAAGTAAAATGCCTTTTTGCCCTGCTCTGACAACTATTACCTACGTATTTTCAGGGCTGCTGATTGGCTATTTCCACCCAGGAACCATTTTTCTAGATGACCCCACACTTCCAAAGAGAGATTCTGCTTAATAAAGGCAAGGGGAGCTAAAGAGAACATTTCTTTGTATGCAGGGCAGAGCATGGAATCGGACAGAGTTCTAACAGAAGCATCTTAAACAACTGTGTTGAACTGAAATTGTATTGTATTTAACAGTTTATTTGACTTGTTAAATGTCTTGCCTTATGTAATACAAAGTACCTCTAAGAAACATCAGTGAGGATTGCGTTTCCACAAAAATTAACTGGCTTTGGGCAATAGCACAAGGATTCATAGAAGTAGTAGAATTATGCTTTAATGAACCATACAGAACATCGAAATTGCTTCATTACATTAGAATTTCACTTAAGCACAAAATTACAACTGCTAGTATACAAAATGGGATGCTGTTATGAAGTTTGAATTGTTGGTTTTCCTTTTTTATTCTTGCTAAAATTATATTGGGCAAACACTTTCCTAGCCCCATCTCTTCAACTCTGCCCCTATAAGCACGGCAGGAAGTCTTTTTAATCAAATATTGTTATGTACTCTGTAATATCTGAGAAATAACATGCCAGTCTCTGTAACACTTGTCAGGATTCAAGACTCATTTATATTGTATATCAACATTCATATTTCTAAATCCTTTCTTAAGTTCCAAATCTATACTTTCAAATGTCTGCCTCTGACACTGACTAAACATGTAATTATAGATGAGAACACTTACCTTCTGGGCTTTAGTTTCTTCAGATGTAAAATGAAGGCACTAAATGATGAAATAACTTTTGTAATCCTGTATAACTTCAGTAGTTTCAATACCTGGTGATTCTAGCATCATCTCAACAATCTGAAAGGCATGTCATATCCAAAATGGCCAAAAATAAAGTTAAATTTGTTAAAAAATCTGATTATTCTCAGGTATTTCCAATTCTGATAGCATCCAGGGATCACTCAGTGTTAAAATCTCAGAGTTATGGTTGTTTTCTTATCCTTCTGTTAATTCTAAGGCCGCAATGTGCCTCAAATACCGCCTCTCTCCTTTCCATCTTTTTTGGAGTAGTCACATCTTCATTATCTTTCCTGAATTAGTGAAACAGATCTACCTGCTAGCAGTTTCTTCAACTTCTAGGTTATCCATCACCCCCAACATCAAACTCATTTTCCTCAGCCATAGATTTGAAGAAGTCAGTCTTAATACAAATGGTTCTTCATGTTCTTCAGGAAGAAGTACACCTTCCTTACTCTGGCATGAAAGATGTTCCAAAATATAAACTACTACTGACATTTTTATTTCTACCTACTTTCCACCTTATACAAGCTTATGATTCCCCAATCAGGAACATGATGAACCAGCAACTCCTCCATGTGGTTCTGAAGATCAAATGATACAATGCAAATAACACAGTCTAAGAACAACATCTAGTGAAGAAAAAAAATGCTCACTTCTGGTTAACTGCTATTACAATTACTCTCAATATGCCCTGCACGTTCTCACACCTGCCTTTTCCTTTTCTCATTTGCTCCTCCTGGAAGAACACTCTCAAAAACCCAAATGAAACCCTGCCCATTCTTTTAATCCAATTCAAATGTCTCCACCTTCAGGAACTCTACAAGATGTGTCAAAATTAATCTCTCTTTGTACTGTGTCCCACAGTGTCTTCCTTGAAAATCTTTGTATCAATTTTCAATATGCCCCATACTATACATGGTTCATTAATTCATTTATTCACTCAATTTACATATTTTGAGTGCCTACTATGTAACCAGCATTGTTCAAGGATTTAGATATAAAGGAGTGAATAACAACAACAACAAAACACATGCTTTATGCTTTCATCAAGTTCATAATCTATTGGAAAGAGAGATGTAGAATAAAAAATAAATATGTAATAAAATAGGTGTTATGAATTATACACAGCAGAAGCAGGAGGATGAATTCTGCATATTCAACTACTTCTTCCACATTGGAAGTCCCTTGTGTCCTAAGACCATCTTGTTCTTCTTTTCTGCCTTTCATCTAGCACCATGTTTGGCACCATATACAGTAAATTTGTATTGGGTTGAACTTAGTTCAATAGTTGAAAACAACATTTTAAGAAAAATGCTTCAACTGTCTGCTTCAGTTGCCTCTTCTGAAAAAGAAATTAGCAATACTTACAAATTTGGGGGTAGATAAAATTAGATGTTTATAAAATACTGGTGAACAGCAAACAGGCCCTATCAGATGCCACTGTTGTAGTTTTAAAGAAACATTTCCAAAAGTCTTGTATTTGTTGACTCTTACAACAAAATAATCTGGTGAAAACATTCATATTAAAGATTACTTTGAAAATTTTAATATAACTCAGTAAAATATTATTACTCAGGACCACCTCTGGAGATGTGGAAATGGTCTTATTATATCAAACTAGCACTTTTATAGTGTTCATTAAAATTAGTTTCTACACAGAAAACATTTAAGCCTTCTAACAGATTTTAAGTCAACAATGGATAAAAATTATCCTTTGAGTGAGTTATTTAAAAAATAATAATTAAATTCAGGATAATCTGGAGATATTTATATAAATAGTAAAAGAAAAACCATCAGCCCATCTCAGGGGTCATTTATGATGGGAGAGAACTTAAAAATCTTTTGATCCAAATTTTTATTTTACAAGTGAGACCCATAGAACTGACTTGCCAAATGTATTTCAAGGAGTTGGCAGAGCAAGAACCAAGCTTTAGTTTGCAGCAGTCCCCCTCAAAGAAAAGAAAAAAAGAAAAGAAAAAGCTCTGCATCTTCTCCCTTTGACTAGAAAGGAATTCGTTGTCTCACAAAGAAAGATGATTTCAGTCCACCACACCCTAAGCCTTTTCTGAAGTGAAGTTCATGCATGTGTATTTCCACAGTTTCCTGTGTGCTTCCACAGTTTCCTGCCTTCAGGTAAATATGTGACATTAAAGAGTAATTTTCTATTATTACCCAAGTGACCTGTTTGGGTGCTTGAAGGTTCTCTTGAACTTTATTCTTATATGGCAAACATGATGAACCATTTTTCTGGCCAACTCTTTCTTCAGTGATCCAGCACATGTTAATCAACCCTAAATATTCTTTATTTGCAGGATTGCTAGAGACTGCCTCCCTAAAAGACCAGAAAATCAGCACTAAAGGACATAGGCTTTTTTTTCCACATAATAAAGTCTTGAGGAGGAGCAGAGAAGCAAACAGAGTTTAATACAGACATTGAATCACAGATGAAAGAATCCAATCAAATGCTGACAAAAGAAAAACATCTAAACAGGAGGGTAAGGAACAACCTGCATAAAACACCATAACCGCCCTGACAGCTGAGCTTTCACACCTACTCTGGGGAAATTCAACACCCCATTAGAGGGCCAGGATGCAGACGTCCTGAAGGAAAACTCTATAACCAGCCAAGACAAGTTGATGAAACATTTTCAGAATCATCGCCGCACACATGATGCCCAAAATGTTTACACTCATTCCTCTTCTGAGTCGTTTGGGGATTTTATAATGAGGAAATATGAGAAATCACAAAAGTAATAAGCCTCACTCCCATATAGCTGTGAGGAGAATAAATAAGGCCACTTCATAAAATTTCTCCTTTATGATTATTTCCCTTTCAAAAATACCAAAGGATTTCTTCAAAAATATTAGTTTGGCAAAAGTTAACTTGCATTTGTGTTGCCCTCAGTGAATGAAAGTTATTTTATGCTAACAGTATTAGTAATAATTACCAGCTAAAGTAAATAATACCGGTCAAACTAATATATTTGTAATCATACAGTTTTAGCGTCTTAATTTCTACCACCCACTGCTAGCCACCATCACCATTTGTCTCACCTTCTGAAAGAGACGCAATCTAAATAAATTGGCTCTGTTTAGGCAGCAGGCAAGGTGAACCCTTTGGGTGGTTACAAAGTCAGTGAATGGAATATTATGACTTTCTGTTTTAACAAACATCCTAGACTAGTAATGTCCAATCAAAACATAATGTGAGCCACAAATACAAGTACCTTATAAGATGTTATATTTTTGAGTAGCTACATTATAAAATATAAGAGATGCATACCTGCTCTCCCTGGTATGCCCTGCTTTGGATTGAATTTTTAAGTGTAAATCAGAATATATCTTTCCTGCTTACTCTATGCCCTGCTACTGGATTTAATTTTTAAGTGTAAATCCGAATATATCTTTCCTGCTTATTCTGCAAAGACTTCTCTCAACTCAGAAGAACATTCAACGTTTCTCCCTAAGTAACAAGGCCCCGACTGACCTGTCCCTGCCTGTCTCTCTGATCCCCATCCTTCTCCCTTCATTGACCACTTTCCTGCCACCCTGAGCTTTTTACTGTTCTTCAAATATGCCAAGATACTTCCAGTCTCAAGGCCTTTACTCGTGATACAAACACTGCCAGATAAATATTATCCCCATTTTCTTATCCAGGGAAAAAAGAGTTCAAAGAGGTTGAATAATTTTCCCAAAGTTATACAGATAATAAGGCAATGAGCCAGTGTTGAAATCCACATCTACCTGATTCAAAGATCCATTTTCTTTCTATTATACAACACAATGTTTCAAATATATCAATAAAGTTAATCATAAAAATAGAAAAAATGTATGTGGCATTTCCCAGGTGCCAGTCATTTAATTTCCTGAACAACACATGATATTGGTGCTTTTGTCTCCTCTTACAGATAAAGAAGCTGAGACCCAGAGAGTAAGTCATTTGCCCAAGATAAAGCCAGTAAGTGGAAAAATTGGGATTCAAGCTGAGGCTATCTGGATTTAGAATCTGTGCATCTAACTTCTCTGTATATTACTGAGATCAGATGCTTCCTTTGTAATTTCTAAAGTGAGACAGGTGAGGCACAACTGGCATTGATGTCCCTACAAAGATCACATCACATTATTTCTGCAGAAGTACCTCTGTCCCACCCAGAGTATCCTAGTGCCCGGAGCACATACAAGAGCTGGGAAGTGCGTAAAGGAGGCCATGGTCTACAACGCTTGGAGCCAACAGATTAGGAACAATAAATAATATTTTGTAGAGCATTTTAATTTGTAGTTTACAAAGCACTTTGGCATAAACTTTTCCAACAAAATCTTAGAAAGGTATTCCTTTTAGATAAAATTGTCATGCTAACCAACCTACCAAATTGCTTTAAACCAAATTGTTTGTGCCAAATCACTGGCAGCTGGGTTTTATACCCATTGTCCAGAAAAGGAAATTGAGAACCAGGGAAGTTAATGGGAAAACATCACATATGTCTTCAGGACTCAAATCTAGATACTTTGCTCCAAAGCAACCATAAAGGAAATGGGAAAATTTGCAGGAAAAAAAGCTAATATAGCTGCCCTGAGGCTACTATCTTTAGAAGGTCTTTCTTTCAAGGTTGGCCCTTGGCTGGTGTCTGGGAGCCTGGTTTCTGAAATATTTACTAAGTGCTAAGATTCGACTGCTGTGCCAGCTTGCTTAGACTGTTTGTACAAATATATTTTATGATGAACACCTGCTTCCTGTATTAGAACCTGGAATTTTGGTGGGCACAGGTGCCTCTGTGATCAGCCCCCCATGAAAACCTTTGTTGAGTCACAAAGTCTTCCTTTGGCAGACATATTGCACACGTGTGTCTGCATTTTTACTACTACAGGAAGGGTATATGCTGTGTGTGACCCCTCATGGGAGGAAAGGAACACAGGAAGCCTGCAAAGGAATTTCCCCAGATGCTTCCTAAGAAATATGTTTTTACTTTTTTCCCTTAGTGATCTTGCTATGTATTCTTACTCTACTGCAATAGTAAATCTTAACTATAAGTAAGACATTGAAGTCTGTGAATCCTTCTAGCAAATCACCAAATGTGCAGGTGGTCTTAGAGGCCACTTGGAGACAGAAAAGCAATAGCAGAATAAGGGGAGCCCTTGACAAAAGTCATGGAGACAGAGCAGAGTAGAGGCACCTCTGTGGATAGACCTGAGAGCCAAGAGATTCACAGGGTGGCATCAGACCTCATCATCCTTACCTCAGGTAGAAAGCCAGCACCCTTAGCTGTGGAACTCACTGGTAAAAATAACAGGACTGTGCCTTTAATAAGGAATTGCTTGCATTTATTCACCATCAGGCAAAAGGGGAAAGGGGGCTACCTAAGCAATTGAAGTAAAAACCCCATCACTTTCCAAGAGAGTTAAAATTGTAGGAGAGAAATTGGCTTTTCTTGGCTGAAACTCTGCATACTGATTAGCAGCCCAAAGAGGCAAATTTATTCAAATCTACCTCCCTAAAACAAATGTCATCTTCCCCGGGGGAGTAAAATGGTGTGGAACTATATATAGGATACACCATTTAAAATTCCTTTTTCAGGAAAATTCCTCTCCACACTCTTTTGCATTAAATGTATTTATAACCTGGGCAGCAGCTGAACTTCTTTTCACAAGTGATGGCTAACTAACCCCTTAGGTTTTACCCTGAAACCATATTATGCAATCTATGCATACACTGTATAATTTTATGTTGTACAACCTCTTAGTAGATGTCTAGTTTGGCTTTTAATAATTAAGTTCATTTCTAATCCAAGACACACCAGCTTTCTTTTAATACTTCCCCAATATTACGGTTTTCATAAAGAAGCTGACCTCCCCATAATCACACGCACTTATACACACAAGTACAAATACCCTTCTATTAGGAGAGATTTGGAATCAGAAAGCACTTAAATAGAGCTGGTACCACCTATCCCAGATGGCTAAGAAAGAACCAATTAGAGCTGGAGTGGTGAGATTCTTTGTAATATAAAAAAGACCCAAGAGTCCAATGCTCTCATCACAATATTTACAGGACTCTTATTTCACAAAGGGCAGGGCTAAAATCATACCAACAAGGGAAATATACTTTTTATATATTAAAATAGACTAGTTTTTCTCAAGGGAAGAAAAAGGATGATGAGATTGAAAAAGTATGTTATCTTCCTAGGAAGCTGGGAGGAAAAGTGAATGTAATTAAAGGTCACACCTTCACACACAGGACTGAAGCCTTCTAACACCCCTCCATCCTGTCTTTGGAGTCATCACATCCTGATTATAGAAGGAATATCAGAGTCTTGCATTTGTAAACCACTAGAATGTTCAGCTAAAACCTTCTTTTGTGAGAAAAACTAAAACTTCCTGAGAGATGGCAGGATACCAGACCCCATGGGTCTGAAAACAAGGTCTCCACGGAAAAAAAAAAGGAGAACTGAGAAGAGAGAGAAGTCAGAAGAGAATGAACATCCATATGGCTCACACTTTTGTAAATGGTCTACACTTAAAAGGCCTCCTTCCCATTACCTCTATTCCAATGCAATGTAATTGGTTGTGAGGAAAACTAGTGTGTCAGAGCGTATTAGAAAAACAAAATCCTGAGAATTTCCCAATCATCTTATGAAGAATTTGTTGGTGAAAATTGGAAGGATTTTTGCCACTGGGATTACTAAGTGACACCACCATAACACCATAGCTCTCTAGTAGCAGACAGGACATTTCTTGGAACATGAAAGACAATCGGGTGTATCTGCCTAGATTGAAAGTTTCTGTCATCATCATGCTATCTGGTTATTTTGCACACTAGTTGATGCAGTTTCTTCACAGTGTCATTGGTCTTTATATTTTGGTGTTTTTGCAGTGGCTAGTCCTCATTTATCATTGTGATGGCAGGATCAAATTCACACGTAACAATATTAATCTTAAATGTAAGTGGGCTAAATGCCCCAGTTAAAAGACACAGACTGGCAAAATGGATAAAGAGTTAAGACCCATTGGTGTGCTGTATTTAGGAGACCGATCTCCGTGCAAAGACACACATAAGCTCAAAATAAAGGGATGGAGGAATATTTACCAAGTAAATGGAAAGCAAAAAAAGGCAGGGGTTGAAATCCTAGGCTCTCACAAAACAGACTTTAAACCAACAAAGATCAAAAAAGACAAAGAAGGGCATTACATATTGATAAAGGGATCAATTCAACAAGAAGAGCTAACTATCCTAAATATTTATGCACCCCCCAATACAGGAGCACCCAGATTCATAAATAAGTTCTTAGAGACCTACAAACAGACTTAGACTTCCACACAATAATAGTGGGAGACCTTAACACCCTACTGTCAATATTAGACAGATCAAGGGAGAAAATTAACAAGGATATTCAGGACTTGAACTCAGTTCTGGATCAAGTGGACCTAACAGACATCTACAGAATTCTCCACACCAAATCAACCAAATTTCTCAGTGCCACATAGCACTTATTCTAAAATTGACCACATACTTGGAAGTAAAACAGTCCTCAGCAAATGCAAAAGGATAGAAATCATAACAGTCTCTCAGACCACAGTGCAACCAGATTAGAATTCAGGATTAAAAAACTCACTCAAAACCACACAACCACATAGAAATTTGGCAATCTTCTCCTGAATAACTCCTGGATAAATAATGAAATTAAAGGAGAAATCAAGAATTTTTAAAACCAGTGAAAATGAAGAGACAATGTACCAGAATCCCTGGGACCAGGTAAAGCAGTGTTAAGGCAAATTTATAGCACTAAATGCCCACATCAGAAAGCTAGAAAGATCTCAAATCAATACCCTAACATCACAATTAAAAGAGCTAGAGAAGGAAGAGCAAACAGATCTGAAAGCTAGCAGAAGACAAATAACTAAGATCAGAACTGAAGGAGATAGAGACAAGAAAAACCCTTGAAAAAATCAATGAACAGAGGAGTTGGTTTTTTGAAAAGATTAACAAAATAGACCACTAGCCAGACTAATAAAAAAGAAGAGAGAGAAGAACCAAATAGACACAATAAAAGATGATAAAGGGGATATCACCACTGACCCCACAGAAATACAGACTACCATCAGAGAATACTATAAACACCCCTATGTAAATAAATTAGAAAATCTAGAAAAAATGAATACATTCCTGGACATATATACCCTTCCAAGACTAAACCAGGAAGAAGTCGAATCCCTGAATAGACCAATAACAAGTTCTGAAATGGAGGCAGTAATTAATAGACTACCAATCAAAAAAGCCCAGGACCAGACGGATTCACAGCTGAATTCTACCAGAGATACAAAGAAGAGCTGGTACAATTTCTTCTGAAACTTCCAAACAATGGAAAAGGAGGGACTCCTCCCTAACTCCTTTTATGAGGCCAGAAACATCCCAATACCAAAACCAGGCAGAGACACAACAAAAAAAAAGAAAAATTCAGGCCAATATCCCTGATGAACATTGATGCGAAAATCCTCAATAAAATACTGGCAAACCGAATCCATCAGCACATCAAAAAGTTTATCCACCAGGCTCAAGTCAGCTTCATCCCTGGGATGGAAGGCTGGTTTAACATATGCAAATCAATAAATGTAATCCATCACATAAACAGAACCAATGACAAAAACCCCATGATCATCTCAACAGATGCAGAAAAGGCCTTCAATAAAATTCAACAGCCCTTCATGTTAAAAACTCTCAATAAACTAGGTATTGATGGAACATATCTTAAAATAATAAGAGCTATTTATGACAAACCAACAACCAATATTATACTGAATGGGCAAAAACTGGAAGCATTCCCTTTGAAAACCAGCACAAGACAAGGATGCCCTCTCTCACCACTCCTATTCAACATAGTATTGGAAGTTCTGGCCAGGGCAATCAGGCAAGAGAAAGAAAGAAAGAGTTTCAAATAGGAAGAGAGGAAGTCAAATTGTCTCTGTTTGCAGACAACAGGATTCTATATTTAGAAAACCCCATCGTCTCAATCCAAAAACTCCTTAAGCTGATGAGCAACTTCAGCAAAGTCTCAGGATACAAAATCAGTGTGTGAAAATTACAAGCATTCCTATACACCAATAACAGACAAACAGAGAGCCAAATCATGAATGAACTCCCATTCACAATTGCTACGAAGAGAATAAAATACCTAGGAATACAGTTAACAAGGGATGTGAAGGACCTTTCAAGGAGAACCACAAACCACTGCTCAAGGGAATAAGAGAGGACACAAACAAATGGAAATGGAATTTTTTTCCATTTGTTTGGAACCAACTTAAATGCCTATCAATGATAGACTGCATAAAGAAATGTGGTACATATACAACATGGAATATTATGCAGCCATAAAACGGAATGAGATCATGTCCTTTGCAGGGACATGGATGAAGCTAGAAGCCATCATCCTCAGCAAACTAACAGAGGAACAGAAAACCAACTATCGCTGTAAGTGGGAGTTGAACAATGAGAACACACGGACACAGGGAGGGGAACAACACACACTGGGGCCAGTCGGCAGGTTGGGGGCAAGGGAAGGGAGAGCATTAGGACAAATAGATAATGCATGCAGGGCTTAAAATCTAGATGATGGATTGATAGATAAAGCAAACCACCATGGCACAGGTATACCTATGTAACAAACCTGCACATTCTGCACGTGCATCCTGGAACTTAAAGTAAAATTTAAAAAAAAAAAAAAAAAGGAAAAGAAAGTTTCTGGAATTCAGAAAGCATGTTTATTTATTTTAGCCACTTTTTACCTCAGGCAGGGTAGATGCTTAACAATTTGTTTTCAAATGAATGAAAGAGAGCTGGTTCCTTTATTGAAAATACTGCCATCTCTACCTCTATTTTCATCTGTTAAAATGTATTCATCTTGTAAATCCTCTGCAAAGTTTTTTTCTAATCCCCCTCTCTACATATAATCTCTTCCTCCTTAGAATCCCCATTGCACTCCATTATCTTGGTGGTAATTATCTTAATCAAACTTGAAATAAAGACATCTGTTTATTTTATTCTTTTCCCAACAGCACTCCATCCGTAACTGACCCCATATGCTATAAGCTCTTTTTGAAGATCATGCACATATTTCTGCCCCTTGTCTCTTATATTATGGTATAGAGCAGATTTCCTTAGAGATAGGGAATTCTTTTTTTTTTTTTTTTTTTTTTTTTGAGACGGAGTCTCGCCCTGTCACCAAGGCTACAGTGTGGTGGCGCCATCTCGGCTCACTGCAAGCTCCGCCTCCCGGGTTCATGCCATTCTCCTGCCTTAGCCTCCCGAGTAGCTGGGACTACAGGCGCCCGCCACCACTCCCAGCTAATTTTTTGTATTTTTTAGTAGAGACGGGGTTTCCCCGTGTTCGTCAGGATGGTCTCGATCTCCTGATCTCGTGATCTGCCCGCCTCGGCCTCCCAAAGTGCTGGGATTACAGGCATGAGCCATCGCGCCTGGCCCATATTTTTTTTAATTTTAATTTTATACTTAATGCAAAATGCCCTGCAGTTTATTTTCCCCTGCTTCCACTTCTCACATGACAGAGTTATCCTTAAATAACATCACAATATCCACTCCCCCTTTTGTTTTGTAAATCAAATAATTACTAACACTTATTATGAACATTCCATAGTGGTATCATAATGCCCATATTTCTATTTCCTGCCACTAACAATTACAATGCCTTCATTTATGAACACTTGTACTGTTTTTGAAAAGATCTATTTCTCCCATCCTGTGCTGGATAGATAGACTCATTTTATCTACTCACCTGATGTTAAATCTCAGGTTTAACTAGATAGACTCTGTGAGAATCCTGAGGATAAAGGTTGCTTCACTGGATGACTTGTTAATCCACATAGGCCAAAACCCTTCCGACTTCTCATTTGTAAAGTGACATTTCAAAACCTTCATCATTATTTATTAAGCATTCACTATACCCAGGGAACCTAATAAAAGAGACTGCAAAGAGCTTAAAAATAAGACCTCCACATGCAGTAAGGGGACATGATGGGAACTCTTACCCAGGGTCATTCCATTTCAAGTGCTTTACATATTAAGAGGCTCCAATCATATATGAGTTCAGGTACACAATTTATAAGAAGGCTAACAAATTATTCTAAGAGAAAGATTGTATCTCAGTGCCAAAGAAGTGACAGGATGAGAGACATCACAGCTGGAGCAATATAATAAGAGAGGAAGAAAGACAATAGTAGAGATTAGTACAGAGTATTAAAAGTTTTTGCAGGAAGAGTAAGGTCTTTAATTCTGGAAAGAGAGGAACAAGTTGTACACATCAAAACAAATACTCTAAACACTTTCTTGTATTCCCTATAAGAAGGAATTGTTCAATTTATAATTACACCAAGTACAATAACCATCAACTCTATTCAAGTCACAAAATTCCACCCAAAACAAATCATGACCAGACTCTTAAACAAGCACATTAAAAAACAAATCCAAATTTGTCCATTTTTCACAGCAGACAATGACGCAGATCCTTTCTACCATTAGCTTCCCCAGGTTCAAATCAAGTCAAAGAATAGCAGCTTTATTTATGAAGTTGGTTCATCAAAAAATCTCTCTTACAATTGATAATTTATTTTTTATCTTTGGCCCTATTTTCTTTACCCACTTTCATTTATCTGAGTGGGGATAATTCTTATTATCTCTTGCTGTGGAATTAATTAATTAAACCCAAGTAATCAGTTTTATGTAATCAACTCCAGTACTGCAAGAACCTAATAATTATAATAAGAAGCACTCATGGTAAAATCAAAGTTTTAAAATTTACAACCCTTTTTTAGTTTCCTCTTCAACTTACAGCCAAAAGAGGTATCAACTATTATTATTTCTATACTATCTGCTGTGTAGTCATAGAACTTAGAGCTCCAGGGAACCTTAGAGATCAATTCATTCATTTTTACAGGTGAGAAAAAGAAAGGCATTTAATAGCAGGACCAGGTCTCCTGATCCCACACACGGTGTTCTTGCCCCTTTATTGCACCTCCTCCCTGCTATGTATGTTCCTAAGCGGGATATCTTAAGCTGTATTGTCAACTACCATTTGAAATGCAGTTTTCAAAGACTATTCTGACTAGAAACCTCCGTCTAAATAATTTGGAATGTGCTAACGGAGCTTCACATTGAAGGTTTACCTCTCAAGTCTACAAGTTATATTCATTAGTTAGTGTTTCTTAGGGTAAAGCATCCCTTACTAAGAAATTAATTAATCTTAATTATCAAATCCAGCTTCCAAGAATTTGAAATTATACTTAAACAAGAAACTTAGGTACATAATTTTCTGCTAATTATCCCTTAAATACATCTGTATGTTTATAGGAAAAAAAAATGGTTTTCTGTCAAAACTCCAAGAAAGCATGTGCTGTTTGCAGAACATAGCTTCCAATGAAATGTTACTTCCTATTTTGTCAAATATAATTTGCATCTGTGTATAAACTTTCCAATTGCTATAGAAATAGTCAGGGATGGATTGCACTCCAATCTTAATTTTTCATTTCCTTAAGTAAAATTCATAGTGTATGAAGAAAACAGCTAAAAGGAGATATACTTCAAAGATGCAATTTTCTATTTTGTTTTTATAATACTTTCCTCAAAATGAAGCATCTTGTGTCAAATTTAAGAATTAGCACTAACTTTAAAGAGGCATTGTTTCACTACTGAGTGGTGAAACAGTACTCCAGAAAAAGAATAAAATTGTCTGATAAGTATCACAAAAGTAAACTAAAGTTAGCATTAAAAACTGTAAAAAAGCAAATAAACAAACAACCAAAAACCTCCCTGATAGAAATGTTTCCTTGGTTACTTTTGTTTCCAGTTTTGTTTTTTATTCAATGGGAAGATAGTTTCATTTATATGACCATTATATAGTGTCATGTAATAAAATATGCATTTATTTCTGAAAATGGTATTTCAAATTGAAAGTATGAGGCTGACTGGCTTCGATGGCATATATTATTGATATACCTTAATATAAACTCATAAATCTGTACAACAATGAACTGAAAAATTTTTAAAATTTAAACCTCTTGAAGTCAAAATTTATGCCTGTTAGAAACATGGTTATAGTTCAGGATCTAGCCCCACGCACGACACACAGGAAGTGCTTAATAAAAATGTCTCAATGAATGTGAAAATATGATTACTTTCCGTATTAGTCAGGATCCTCCAGAGCTAGCAACAAAATATAGAGAGGCAAGTATAAACAGAAATAAGGTTTATTATGTGAGACAAGTAGCAAATGTCTGCTTCTGGCCAGCCACATAGTTGGCCCTTGCCTTAAAGAAATCCTATTTGCTCATATGGCTTGTCAGCATAGCTTCACAAACCCCAAACTCAGTGACTAAGCACATCCCTCCAGAGGAATGCCTTGAAGACAATAAACAGGCTAGAGTGTAGGTCCCCATAATGCTTACCTGAGTCACTATATTTTTAGAAAATATAAGTTAAATGATCCTAGCCCCTGCCTTTTCCTGTATATAAAATAATATCTGACAGGGTTAACAACTATACCTCTTTAATCTATAGGCAGATACACTCTCACACCCAAACTTGGATGCGTTTTTGCTTTAATGGAACTTCTGAGCACATGCAGAACATCCACCTCCTGCTAAATAAGCTGTGGCATGAAACACTGCTTTGGAGCAGTCTAACAGAAATTCTCCAAAACTTTCCCAGGTTGCGATCTTCAGTAAGACTGAATAAAACTAACTTTAATTATTTAAAAGCCCAGGTTTTTTTTTTTTTCATTGAAATTAGATGATATTAGATAACTCTGAGAACTGGACATTCAGGCTCCAAGGTTCCTCACCCAGAAATGACTCCCAAAACACAGAGTGGAACTATTCCAAGGGAGAAGCCTCTGCCACTGCTTCTGGGCACACACACAGAGGCATGCACTACTGACACTGAATGGCACTGGTCCCTGAACTTGCACATCAAAACTATCACCTCTTTTTTGCTACTCCTTGCCAATACAACCAACAGCAACCAATATACGGAGCTCACACTATGCTTTCTAACTTCTGTCCCTGGTCCCATAATCATTAAGCACATAAACTATTTCCTAGGTGTGAGTTTTACCAAATATTTCAATTCCCAAGATCAAGATGACATTACTGTTCTTTCAGCTTTTACTTTTTTACCACCACTCAATTAATCATTAAACCAATCCTGTGTAATTTAGGTTTGCTTTATAAATAGCTCCACAATTCTAGTTATAAACGTCTATACCAGTCAAGAGAGACTAGGTCAGGCTGCAATAACAAAAGAAAAGCCAAAAATAGCAGTCAATAAAAATAACAAAAGTTCATCTCTCATTGTTACTACATGTTCAGTTTGGGTCAGCCTAGAGGCTCTGCCTGTTGTAATCACTCAAGGATCCAGGCTGACAGAAGCCCAATTGCCACAGATTTTTTCAAAGATTATGAGTAAGGTAAAGATGAATATGGCAAATCATATGGGTTACTAAAGCTTCCACCTACATTTCATTGACCAAAGCAAGTCAAATAATGATACCTATAAGTCAAATGATAATACACAACTCAAAAAAAAGGTAAGAAAGTGCAATTCTACAATTTCCTAGCAAGATAATCAGACATATTTGATGTAAGACATTTATGACTAAACAGCTTTAGAAGGTAGGATTAATAACATATTTCTGAAATGTAGGAAATAGTTTCGAAATACTCTGGTTACAAAAATAATGACAAATATTTTCTTCAGTATCTAACATTGTTACTCTCAAATATGTACCAGTAATAGTTCTTAGAAAATATTTTTTCATTTCTAGCTTAGTCTAAATTGAAGATAAAAACCATATATCATTTGATGAATCATATTTGATGTAGTAACTTTATGCTGTGGTAGATAACCCTAGGATGTCCACCAATAATCCTTATTTTCTGGTCTACACACCTATGTGTAATCCTCTTACCTGGAGCATGGGAGACATCTATAACTTGCTTCTAACTATAAAATATGTCAAAAGACATGAAATATCACTCCCTTGATCATGTTCTCTTATGTAAAACTCTCTAAGCATACAGGTGAGACACTCTTCTGCAAGCTTTGGAGAAACAAACAGCCACATTATAAACTTCCTATAGAGAGGTCACATGGCGGGGAATTGTAGGTGCCTTCTGGGCTCTGGGAACAGCCTTCAGCTGAGACTGTCAATCATACAACCACAAGGGAATAAAATCCCCCAACAATCTTAATGAGCTTGAAAGTGTATTCTTCTCCAGTCATGCCTCCAAATGAAAATGCAGCCAATATCTTGATTGCAACTTTATGAGACACTGAAGTAAGCTACGCCTGGAATCTTGCCCTATGAAAACTAAAATAATAAATGTGTGTTTTGTTTTAAACTGCAAAATGTGAGGTAATTTGTTATTACCAAAATACAGCTGTTTATGGCAATTCAACTTCACTATCCTTATTTATCTTTTGCATCATTTTCCTCACTTTAATTTGAAACTTTTTCTTGATATTATTAAACTTACAGAATAGTTGCAGGAATACTGCAAAAAAATCCAATATACCGTTTACCCAAGTTCACCAGTTGTTTCTATTTTGCCCATTTATCATCCCCTCTCTTGCATACATGTGTATTTGTGCTTGTGCATAACATTTTTTCTGAACCATTTGAGAATAAATTGGAGAAATGTCTCTTTATCCCTAAATATATCAGCGCATATTTCCTCCCCACAACAAAAAATGGAATTTTCTTACGTGACAGTTGTGAAAGGAAATTAAATCTTAGGACCCCAAACTCATTTAAGCCAAAGGGAAAAGTCAAGCTGGGAACTGGGTTACACAAACCTACCTTCCCCTCTTTGGTTCATAAATATGGTGGCTACAAGATGAAAAGCTACATAAGTCCTCCATATTTCGCCCACAAAAAAATTCCCAGTGAGATGCAAGATCTTTACTCTAAGGTATTTCTGTTAAAATTTCACCCTGGCAATGTAAATTGATAGCTTATCCTTACAAGCGCAGTCATTCTCCCTGCCTACCAGACACAAATGCATATCCGATTGTTCCCCTGCCCCTTTTTTCCTTTGTCATCTTATGTAAAATGCAGATTCACTGAGCCAGACAAAGGCATGAATGTATTTTTCCCCACCCGCCTCTTAAATGAAAATTGTGTACTTTTCAATATTCTGCCCTTTCCTCTTTAAATTTGAAGCCCTCAAAACCATCTTTGAAGAAAGGTATAGACCTGTTTTCCAGGACCACATCCTTAACTTTGGCAAATAAACTTCCTAAAATGATTGAGACTTGTCTCATCATTTATCTCGATTGACACAGTATCATTATTTTTAAAAGAAATGATATGCTTAATTTTCTAATCTGTAGTTCATATTCAAGTATCATAAATTATATGAATAAAGTGCTTTTTTTTTGAGACAGGCTCTCACTCTATCATCCAGGCTAGAGTGAAGTGGTGCAATCTCAGCTCACTACAGCCTTGACCTCCTGGACTCAAGTGATCCTCCCACCTCAGCCTCCCAAGTAGCTGGGACTTCAGGCTTGAGCCACCATGCCCAGCTAATTTGTGTTTTTTGCAGAGACATGGCTTTCCCATGCTGACCAGGCTGGGTCTCGAACTCCTGAGCTCATGGGATCCACTTGGCTCGCCCTCCCAAAGTGCTGGGATTACAGGTGTGAGCCGTCCTACCTGGCTAAATAAAGTAATTTGTAGCTAGTATTTTTTTATCTCCCAGTCCAGGATGCACTTTAAGGTCGCGTCATGTCACTTCAGGTTCCTTTATTGTGGAATTTCTTTCTTGGCCTATCTCTGTCGTTTGTGACTTGACATTTTTGAACCATACAGATCAGTGTTTATTTGAGGCTTCCTTATGATTGAATTAACATTTGCATTTTGGGCAGGGATACAACAGAAGTGATGTGTCCCTTATATCCCAAGATTGCCTTATATAGAAGTCACATGATATCTTCATGTGGGTTGTTTCTGGTATTGGAATATAATGAACCAGAATGCTATGAACATTCTTATACAAGTATTTTTATCAATATTTTTATATATTTTGGGTACATATCTAGAAGTTTAATTGCCATTTCATAGAACACGAGCATGTTTACCCTGATAAGAAACCACTAAACCTTGTTCTAAACGTTCCTTTTGGAGTATAAAATTTATACCCCCACTTTATAGCTGTTTCATTTGTTTATATCCTTGCCAACATTTTTGTCAGCCATTTTAATTTTAGACACTCCGGCACGTCATTTACATTTTAACCTGTTTCCCTTATGCCTGATGATGTTGAGCACTTTTTAATATGCTTATTGGCTATTTGTATAACTTCCATTGTGAAGTGTCTGTTCAGATCTTTTGCTCATTTTTGGCATTGGATTTTTTTTACTGTTGAGTTATAGAAGATCTTTATATATTCTGGACATAAGTTCTTTGTCAGATGCATGTTTTGCAGATGTTTTCCCCAAATCTGTGACTTGTCTACTCATTTTCTTAACAGCCATTTGATAAGCAGAAGTTTTAAATTTTGATGAAGTCAAATTTATCAATTTTTTTCTTTCTTGTTATTACTTTATGTATTTTTATTATATTTTGCTAAAAAGTGTGCAGATTTCTTTAGCTATATTAAATTATTTCCTAAACAAGAAGAGTGTTAGTGATTTTAATAACATGTCCATAATTTTTAATTATTTTATTCTATTTAGCTTTTTCTTTATACTTTGTCTAATCCAATAGTTCTCAACTGGGGGCGATTTAGACCCCTAGGAGTCTAAAAAAGGACTGCTGTTAGCATCCAGAGCATAGAGGTCAGGGATGTTACTAAACATCCCACAGAGAACAGTCCCCTACAACAAAGGATTATGCATCCCCAAATGTCAATAGTGCTAACATTGAGAAACGCTTGTCTAATGTATAATCTGAACTGGAGGGAGAAGGGTGGGAGGAACACTACACAAATCTTGGTTTTATTAAGTTACAACTGAGATGATTAGATGTTTGAGCCAATGAAAAGCAAATAATAGCATGACTCACATGCAAGTGCCTAAGTTGATCTGAAGTCACCACTGGTACTTCCTTGGTTATAGAAATCTAAACCAATGCTTTTCACGACTAAAAAAAAAACAAAAACAAAATTGAGAGCAGATTTGCCTCTTATAGAAGGAGTCACATTAGTAAAGGGTTACTGCTCAAGCTAAATTAAAACAAATCAGTGACATTCCTCTCTCCATTATGTGCACAAATCTCCCATAAAAATCAATGAAAGCCACATATGTGTAACCGTGACCAGAATGCAGCTAATTCCAGCTCTAACTTGCTATTCCTTCCAGGGCTCATAAACCCCACAATAGTTGCTCAGGAACAGAAGGACCCTGTGATGAATACAGCAGCTCAAGCCAAATCCTGGATGAATCGTCCAGATCATTCTGTTCTCTGGTTTATTAGGCAGCAGAGGAATCTTAAGGTTCCGGATGTGATCACAACTAGAGCAGAACTCCGGGGAATAATCCTGAATCAAAGGAGAAGCTACTGCACTTATAAAAACAGTTTATTTCTCCCAGTGATCAAAGTGGCCTATATTTACTGTAGAAAATATAAAAATATAGAAAACTCTAAATAAAAATACTACCTATGAATTCATCATCCAGAAGCCATCATTATTACCCTTGGCAGATTTCCTTTTAGGTAAAATCTGCCCATATATATATATATATATATATATATATATATATATATATATATAGTAGTAGTTGTTGTTTTGTTTTTGTTTTTTTTAAACTTACTTAAAGTCTAGGTTTATACACAATTTTGTACCCTGGCTCTTTCACAGAACATTTCCCCATGTGGTTGATAAAAGCTTTGAAGTATTAAATGTTTTGTTTTGTTTTGTTTTGTTGGTTTGTTTTTTGTTTGTGTTTTTTTGTTTTTGTTTTTGTTTTTGAAAAGGGGTCTCTCACTGTGTAGCCCCAGCTGATCTTGAACTCCTGGGCTAAAGTGATCCTCCCACTTGGTCTCCCAACTAGCTAGGATTATTTCTTTGATGTGTGCTTTAGTAGTCAGTTACCAGATTTTACCATAATATTTTTAAACCAATTGTTTATTTCATTTTGGACATCCAGATTGCTTCTTATTTTCCACTATTCCAGATAACACAATAGCCACTATCTGTGTGCAGATACATGTCTCCACATTTTGTATTATTTTTAAGTATATAATCTATAAGGGGAATTCCAGGATTATAATTTGAACTGTTTAAGACTCTTTATATGAAATAAATTAATTTTAGCATACCTAATAGGGCCAGTAGAGTTAAAAATCTGGGTTGATAGTGAGATGACGGGCGACACACTGCTCTGGGGAAGGTAAATTGATGCAATTTGATACATTCCCCAGAGCAGTATATCGCCCCTCATCTCACTAGCAACTCAGCAGATTTTTAAATCTACTGGCCCTATTAGGTATGCTAAAATTAATTTATTTCATATTATCCCTCTCAGAAGGAGGTGACAAGAGAAGGGATCCCAGCAAATAAGTGTTTTAGGGATAATTTAGCCTTCAGTTGATAATAATACATTATGTTTTGCTGTCAAATATCAAGATAGGAAACACAGAATTCAAACAGCCTAGAAAATACTGATCTGAAAATATAACAGTCTTGGCTTTTTGCATAAGAAAAGTTTAGGCTTTATACAATTTTTTAAAAGGTCTCCAAGTATATTCACATATATATAATCAAATACAATATTTTTTCAAAATCAATTTTCATGTATGTGAAGAAAAAAGACAAAAAAATCATGACTGGTATTATGTTTCCTGCAGTAGTGAAAGGATCTGAACTTAAATGTGATTAGTGTGCACAGTTCAGTTGTGTTGATGAGCACCAGAATGGGTGTTGAGAACTAGGAAATGATCATGTGAGAGGAATAAGCAGTCTGTGACAGCCTGAGGTTGAGTGTTTTCACCTACTGAGGCTCAGAAAACAATATTTCAAAATATGCTGCTTCAGACTTCAAACTGAGAGAACCTAGGCAGCAGCAAATGCAGAGAAGGGTTTTCTCTGAAGTTTCCTATCTACCTAAAGGCCAGATCCCCCAGAAGATATTCAACTGTTGTGAATCCCTTCTCCAGATATTTCATCAATTAGGGGAAACTGATGCCTAACTCAGGAAGGAAGACTAAGTTGACACTATACCAGTTCCCTGTCCTGGGCTATTGTCTGTTCTTTACACCCATTCATCTCCCTTAAAAATCATTTACTCTTCCTCTGAAATTGTCTACATTCCCCCACTTCCCTCTCCCCTATGAAGACGGTATTTAAACTTCAACCATCTGGTACTTCTTTGAGTTTCACACTTTGTTTGGCTCCTGTGTGCTTGCACATTAATGAATTTGTGTGCCTTTTCTCTTGTTAATTGATCTATTGTCAGTTTATCTCAGCGGACTCAGTTATCATTCAGAACGCAGAGAGAAAGCTTCTTTTGCTCCAACACACTTAGCCTTAATTCCAGGAAGACAAATTGTTTTGACTATGTTCTTTTTTCCCCATTTCACACATTTAACTATATTATACTTGCCCTGGGAAATAGAAATGGGAAAGAGACCAGGAAAAGAAAAGCAAGATAGAAAGAAAAAAGATGGTCTTTAGGATAACAACAACAAAATCAATGTAGGAGATTGGGAGAGAGAAAAAGCCATCAAAGTAACACAGAAAGCTGAAGAAGCTGGGCGTGGTGGCTCACGCCTGTAATCCCAGCACTTTGGGAGGCCAAGACAGGTGGATCACCTGAGGTCGGGAGTTCTAGACCAGCCAGTCTGACCAACATGGAAAAACCCTGTCTCTACTAAGAAATACAAAATTAGCCGAGTGTGGTGGCACATGCCTGTAATTCCAGCTACCTGGGAGGCTGAGGCAGGAGAATCGCTTGAACCTGGGAGGTGGAGGTTGCAGTGAGCTGAGATCGTGCCACTGCACTCCAGCCTGGGCAACAAGAGCAAAGATCCATCTCAAAATAAATAAATAAATTAATTAATTAATTAATTTAATTCGATTAAAAAAACAGGAAAGCTGAAGAAAGTGTTTTTCTTGACTCTTGACTGGCGTTTCATAATTATAAACTCCCTTTTGTGATCTTCAGACCCTCTCTTGAGGGCATGGGCTACATCTCAAGGTTTGTTTTAGTTTATAATAAAAAGTTCAGTGCTTTACCCATAGTGGGTATTCATATTTTTTTCTCAAATCAAAAATTACTTAGTAGTAATTCATCAAATAAATCCTCAATAAATTCATCAACATTTATTAAATGTCTACTATGTGACCAGAACTCTTCTAGGCAAGCAATAGGAAAACTGGTAAACAAAGCTCTGCTCTCATGGATCCTCATGGATGACAGAATCTAGTGCAAGCTTAAAACTTTATTTACAATAGCAGGCAGTCTTTAATTTAGGTCATTTTTTGCTGATTTGATTCTTCTTTAATGTTGCATTAAACTATTATCACCAAGTTTTTTGACTCCTCCTTAAATTTTGTGCCTGATGCAAGTGCCTCTTTCACCTTACCCTAGTCCTAGTCCTCTTGAGCTGTATCTTTAAAAAATTGACAAACAAATTATAAATTGTCTTTTTGTGGTTAAAAGTTCCTTGGGGATATTGTGTCAAATGTATTGGTTCAGCCAGGCCACAAAGTCACAACAGCAGCAGCAGTAGTAGTTACTCATCTTTGGACAACTCAGGAAAGTAAAACATATTTAGTAATAAATATTTATTAAGTGCCTACTCTTTTTCCAAGCAATTGTCTAGAACTGATGATAGAGTTGTGAGCCTGCACACATCTTGCTCTTGACTCTGACTAAACTGTAAATGCTGTGTTGGCAGGAACTCTGGTAATACAGCTCTGAGTTTCTGCTAACACTGTGTTTACAGTCTAGTTAGGGTCTAGGTCAGGATGGTAAATAATTACACAAACCATAAGGTAATATTAGCACAAGTAAGTACTCTGAAGAAGATAAAACAGGATAATGGGATAGCATGTGAGTGTGGGAGTGGGCTGTGACTGAAGCATTGACTCTAAGGAGATAACAAATGAGGTGAAACCTCAATGATGAGAAGGAGCTAGAAATTCAACAAGCCGAGAAAAGATCATGCCAGGAAGAGGGAATAGCAACTATAAAGGCTTTGCGGTATGAACAAGTTTCGTTGTCTCAAAAACTTAAAAGGCCTGTATGGCTCTTGTCTAGAGAACGAGGGAAAGAAGAATGGGTCAAGTGAAGTTGGGGAGGTTGGAGACCTAATTGTGTAGGACCTTGTACAACACCCTATGAAAAACTTACTTTTTTTTCTGAGTTCCATGGGAAGTCAATGGACTACTTCAACTTGACATGCATATGAAAAGACCATTACAAAGTGGTTTGAATTAGAAAAAGAACAGAAGTTGGTTGGAGATGTTGAGGTGGTCCAGATGAGAGGGATTATGATGTCAACTACATTTATTAGCAGCAAAAATGCAGATACATGGACAAATTCTGGATAAACCTTGCAGGTAGAATCAACAGGCCTTTCTCCTAATTGAATCTCAACTCAGCCACTTAGTGGACAAGTTTAATCATCTCTTTGTACCTCAGTTTTCCCATCTATAAGATGGAGATAATAATTGTCCCTAGTTTTTAGAATTGAAGTCCTTAGAAGAGGGCCTGATGGGCATTAAAATTCTCAATAAATGTGAGTTATCCTTATCTTCATCATTTAAAATGGAAAAGAGAGGAATTTTAAATGGCCTGTAGGTCTAATCTGAACAATGGGTGGAAAATATTACTTCTGAGATAAAAAAAGACTAGGAAGATGCAAGTTTAGAAGGGAAGAAATTTAAAGTTCTCTTTTGGACTTGTTAATTTGAGATGCCTATGAAAAATCTAAATAGATATAGAAGTCTGGAACTTAAGGAAAAGGTTAGTACTAGAGATTTATATTTCTGAGTCATCAGTATACAGATGTATTTAAATCCAGAGGATTAACACAGACCACATAAAGAGTTCATGTAGATAGAGAAAGGGGGATAAAAGGTTACGGGCTGAGGCCTTAAGAATGCCAAATTTGCAGCTGAGGAAGGAAAAGGGAGCCAGCAAAATAAACTGGGAGGAATTGTCAGGGAGGTGGAAGTAAACAAGGAGTGTACAGTGTTGTGGAAACCAGGGCAGGCTCCTAAAGTTTTAACTGACATGCATTACTTTATAATGAACAGTTATACTTTTCTAATAAAATAAAAGTTAAAAGCACAGAAACAATTTCAACTTCTCTGTAACAATGCTCCACACCAATTTTAAAACCTTGCCATGAAAAAGCTGAGGAAACACCTTGTAATTTGGTCTGGGATATATACTCTTTCCTAGCTCAGGAAGAAATCCTCAGAACAATATCTCCAGAATTCTGTAATTCACTGGGTTAGAAGATAATGGATGCAATAAATGGAAATTATCATACAAATGCCAGCTTCTGTTACTATATATGAAATAAATTCCCCATGTGACTATAAAGATATAAAAAAAAGGATAACTTTATCATCCAGTTTGGAAAGATCAATATAAGAGATTGATAGCATTTTTATCAAAAGCTAGGTCCCACATGATTGTTAGGTAATGGAAAACAAGTTTGGGGAATTTATATTATAGAAAATGTAAATAAATTAAATTGATGAGCTCATACCTGATAAGTAATATGCCAAAAAAACCCACAAACAGATTATTAAATCCCTTTGAAAAAATCAACAATAAATAGCCATTACTTGTAGCCTAGCAGAACATTCTGCATGCAACAGGGGTAGCAATTCTTGTTAGGTTAGTCATAAATACTATAGATTAAGCAAGGCAAAATCTTTAGCTTACAAGGAAATGTATTCTTCTTCTTCTTAATTTTTACAGTTTTTTTTAACAGACTTATAATAATCACATCTTTAGTTTGTACAGCATGTTTTTGCAGTCAGATTTTGCACGGACATAGATGAAGCTGGAAACCATCATCCTCAGCAAACTAACACAGGAACAGAAAACCAAACACCACATGTTTTCACTCATAAGTGGAAGTTGAACAATGAGAACACATGGACACAGAGGGAGGAACATCACACATGGGACCTGTCGGGGGCTGGGGAGCAAGAGAAGGGAGAGCATTAGGATAAATAGCCAGCGCATGCGGGGCTTTAAAGCCTAGATGACGGGTTAATAGGTGCAGCAAACCACCATGGCACATGTATACCTATGTAACAAACCTGCACATTCAGCACATGTATCCCAGAACTTAAAGTAAAATAAAAATAAAAAATTAAATAAAATAAAAGATTACTCCATATTTATTTATATCTTGCTTTATTCACAACACACACAAAGTGAGGTTGTTTAAAATTGCACAAAACACAAACTAATTGAGAATATGGGAGTCAAAGGAATTTAAGGGGAGAAAAATGGTAATTTCATTCATAAAACTGTAACACAGAAATTTAAACCATTCTGTCATGTATAAGGCTAAACAGAGTCACAAATTTGCATTTACATTTCTAAGTCATCACAACAAAGAGGAGACAAAATCATAAGATTCATAGTCTATATTAAAAACAAAGTAACTTCAAGTGAATATTCTCACACTTCAATTCCATGACAACATTGTAATTGACGCATCCCTGACTACAAGGTGTTCCTACTACTCATTTTATAGCGCCACTGCATTCCTTAAAATCTTTTCAATAATGTTCTGTTACCTTAAGATAAAATCCAGATCTCATAACATGGTTTACAAGTTCCTCATGACCGATTTTTCTTGAATCATCTCTATTTTTCCCAACTTCCATCATCCCTCTCCAGCCACATAATAAATTTTAGTTCCTGCAATGCACCAAGCTGCCTTGCTTTCACCTCTGACCTTTGCACTGGTCTCTACTTGGAATAAAGACCTCATCTTCGCCTGGCTAACTCCTTCTCAGTATTTAGGACTCAGTTTATTTCTCTGGAAAACTTACTTTGACTCACCTTCTCTTACTCAAAATTCTCAATGTAGCATTTTATAGTACACTGAACTTTCTTTTGCCATAGCCTTTATTATTCTTTAATCACTTTTCTTTATTACTCAGTTGTCTGTCTCTATGACTAACCCTGCACTCAAGGTTTTTTGTTTTCAAAGTATGGTCCTTAGATCACATCTGAGGTGCTTGTTTGAAAATATAGATTTCTGGTTCCCAGCCACAGACCTGACTCAGAATGTTGAAACTGCCTTTAAAAAAAAATTATAGCTGAGGAAATTATGACAGTGACAGAGATGAGAACTAACTGACTCCATCTTCCTTCTAACATTTAAGCTGTCCTTATTCATTTCTGGGCACAGGCTGAACTAACCTTGGAAAGGGATTTAATTTATAGTCTGACTCTGAAACAAAATTAATAATATCTCTTTCCCAAAAAGAACCCCGTCTTACCTGGGACCAGTCTGCCTTTGTAGGACTAACAAATTAGCTACAAGATTAGACATTACTGTTTAGGGGTTATGCAGTCTCTGGCTGCAAGAGTCTGAACCTCCTCAAATTGCTCCTGGGGAGAACATCACTATTGTAAAACCTAAGATCGGTGCTTGAGATATTTTGCAGACCCTGCCTCGGTGGATCAACTAACAACACCCAGACCAGTAATCTGGCTCAACCAGTTCTGTGATCTCACCCTGGAGCAGAAAACAGCAAGAAAATCTCACTTCAACCCCCACTATGATTCCATCTCCAACCTGACCAATCATCACTCCCCACTTTCCAAGCCCCCTACCAGCCAAATTATCTTTAAAAACTCTGATGCCTGAATGCTCAAGGAGACTGATTTGAGTAATAATAAAACTCTGGTCTCCCACACAGCTGGCTCTGCATGAATTACTCTTTCTCCATTGCAATTCCCCTGTCTAGGGGAGCCAATCTAGTTAAATTGGCTCTGTTTAGGCAGTAGGCAAGGTGAACACTTTGGGTGGTCACAATGTCTGTAAATGGAACATTATGACTTGCTATTTTAACAAACATCCTAGACTAGTGATGTCCAATCAAAATATATGTGAGCCGCAAATACAAGTACCTTATATAATCTTAAAATTTCTAGCAGCCACATTAAAAAACCTGTGAAATCAACTTTACTATTAAATTTAACCCAACTACTGTTAATGTTTATTAACATTTCTATTAATAATTTTTATTATTGCTGAAATAATATTTCAGCAAGTAATCAGTATAAAAATTATTAATAGAAATGTTAAATTTTCCCATACTAATCCTTCAAATTTCAGAGTGTAATTTATATTTACAATATACCTCAATTCAGACTAGCCACATTTCAAGTGCTCATTAGCCACATGTAGCAACTGGCTACCATTTTAGACAGGATAACTCCATATGGTTCTGTCATAGGAGACTGACAACTAAACTCTGATAAAAGTTTAGTTGACTGTCTTTTTTATAATCTTAACTCTCATATAAATGCCAGGCATATAGTAGACAATCAGTAAATTCTAAATGCCTTTTGAATATTACACTGTTTAGTAAAATAGAGCATTAAAAAAAAATCCTGAAAGATCAGAACAAGAATTAGTCTTTGAGAAGATTTTGAACCCGTAATACAGCGAGTCACAATATCACAAACTAAAATAAATATTTGTCAGTTCCCACAGTCACTCAGTCACTTTTCTGTCCTGGCCACCACATGCCCTATTATAATTATTCTGAGCTCAAGTATAGTGACCACTTGAAACCATCTCGTGTTGAGAAAGTTTGGGATAAGAAAATTAGAAACCGATGAGAGGAACCTATAATTTTTTATAACACCAAAGGTCATAGCAAAACACACGTTTCTGCAGTAGCCTCCTAAAGGGCCTCCAACTCCCAGTCCATGAATTCAATCTCCCCTTTTATGACATGTTCCAGCTTCAAGGTTGATGGTTATTTCTGCTGAAATAAAAGAAGCAAGGAATTATGATCTAAACACTGAGCTGTTAATTATCACAGAGTCTGTTAAATTTCATTCTAACCTGGTAAATTTCTATTTTCTCACTTTGTATGAAAAAAAGAAAGGAACACTGTGCTTACATGATTTATAACAAAGAATCTCATTTTTTTCTAAATGTCAGCAGATACTTCTCAAGTGTATCCTGAAAGAGTAACACAACAACCTTGAACAAGACAAGGACTGAAGAATAGAAGCCCAGTTTGACCCAAACTTCGCTTATATGTGTTATTTTTAATGTGCAAACAGGAGTAACAAGTAACAATAGGTTTTCTGCATCCTGTTAACTTCAATGCAAGAAAAAGGAAAAAACCTGTCATTTTTCATATGGTAATCCAGTTCATTTGTTGTTTATGTTATTTGGGGATGTAAAACACTTAAACATCTTCAAAAGTTCCATCAACATTTCTATAATCAAGGGGAAAGAAATTTATGTAAAAATGACTTCTGCTGCTTCAAGGATCATGAAGGAAGAGAAAGAAGTAAGAAATGATTCTCTCAAAACAAACTCAGAGCTCACTATGTGAAATGCCAAATCTGCCTTTAGTTGCTCCCCCGTCGCTCTCGTAACTTCCACACCCTGTACATTTTCTGCAACCGTCTCCTTCTACCTAAGCAGGAATCATATAAAAAGCTCCTGACTGGATCAGAAATGTGCTGAGGAATCAAGTATTTTTTCTTTACTGTTCCCTATTACTCTGCTTTTACTAGCTATTTTAGTTGAATGATTTCTCCAGATTTACGCCTGGACTTCAGTACCCTGATCTGTGTCCTTTAGTCTTCCTCTACTTAATCCGCATGCATCAATCAGACCTAGAGGCTGGACCCTGCAGTGTCATACACATTCTGCATCTATTCCCCCATCCTCTGTCCTGGCACCAAGAAAGTTGATGTCAGAAGAACACCACATGGTATGTTTTCCAGCGCTAGAGTTCCAGCAGCTCTGCAAGTGAAATTATCATGGAAGCTGTGGAAACAAAGGTATTTTGGACAGAGAAAGCCCCTGTGCTAAAGAACAAGACATGAATGAGAATCTGTCAGGCTGACCCAATGTTCCAAACTTGCCTCTTCCCCTTGCTTCCAAATTGACCTGTAGAGGTGCACAGAGCAAAGATATGTGTGACAGCAGGGGAGCCAGAATGCTGAAACCATGTGTTAAACAAAAATCATAGGAGGCGGTAGCTTTGGAATAAATTCCTACATTAGACCTCAAGAGACCATACTCAAAATCAAAATCAAATCACCTGTGCTCACCAAAGCAAAACTGAATTGTTATCTGTCCTTCCTAGCAATCAAGAGGGAGAGATAACAGCCTAATTTCCCAAACAGGCCAGTTTCATTCTTCAAACTCCATGAAAATTAAGTTCCCTCTCTTTTAATCTCTACCACCAAGAGTTAACCAATCAGTTATCGTTCTATTGTTCTGTCTTCCTGCACCTGCCTTACAAGGAAAATGACTTTGAAATGATCGGTCTGCTTTTTGTTCTTTATTTCTGCTTTCTTCAGCCCTTTTTCTGTTTATAAACCCAACCTCCTCCACTCAACTCATTGGAACACTTATTATAGTTTGTGGAATGAAGTGTTACCCGATTCTAGAATTACAATACAGGCAATTTAGATCTCTAAACTAAATTTGTTGCAATTTCATCTTTCGACACATGCAGCAAGAATTTTACAGTGACTTAGTTTAAATCTTGAGCTGCAGATAAATTTTAATATTCCACTCTTTATTTCTCCAATAGAAACATATTAACTATTTTTTCTTCATTCCCTATCACCTCACTACTCGTTTAAACCTTAAGAAAATTAAATAGTCTCTTTCTAAAATGAGACTTATAAAAGAAGACATATATTCTTAGAGTGGAAAATTAATTGTAAAGTTTTATTCTCCAAACTGTGGCTACAAATTGAGACAACTAAGGTAGATAAGGACTGTGAAGGGGCCACTGGATGTAGCAATTAAGAAATTAGATTGGTAACTGGGGTTGCCTTTTGGAAATGAACGGCAGACTACAAAATATTGAAGAGTGAACAGAAAGTGTGGAAGTAGATTCAACAAGTGTTCACTTTTTCAAAGACTTACAAGGAAAAAGGAGGAGGAGCTACCTACCTAGAAGAGGATCCCAAAGTCCTGGAAGAGTTTAAGAACAAAAAGGTGGGCATTTGTAGGAGGCTATAATATGCTACCACAAAATAAGACTGTAGAAAACCAAAAATGCCTCTTTACCATAAGAATTGTTTTGAACTGATTATTCTGAGAAATAGCATAAGCTCTGAAAACACAGTAGAAATTACCCTTTTGTAAGAGAAATTTATATCTATAAAGGAAATCTCCATTTATGGGGGTTTCTCTCTCTTTGTATCAGGAAGACAAGGATGGCTAAATAACAAAAGACTCTTATCAATGTGGAAGGTGGTAACTGAAATCTGCGTAACAAACCTTACTTTTGTTTGCCATGCTTCTCCTGGTCACCTTTCCTAACTGACCTCTGCCACAGCCTTCTTATATTTTGCTTTTAGGTGAAGATGCTACATATACCTGAATTCCGAGTTATTTATTTTTCCCTGGGTATCCCTCATGTTCACCTGAAGTATAGACGTTAATAAACTTGTTTGTTTTTCTCTTGTTAATCTATCTTTTGTTGCAGGGAGTTCCAACCAAAAACTTATAAATGTAGAGTAAGAATTATCTTTTTCTCCCCTATACATTATTATGATCTCAGTGAAAGAATCCAATAAGTAATAGATCTTAAACTATAACAGGTTTTTAAAACATCTATTAAACACATACAAAATTGGTTATGTATTTGTTCACAAACAAAATTTTAAATTCCAAAATTTAAAACCAGGCAGGTCATATATTCTAATCAACATGTAAGATTCCCCTTTTCTCTCATAAAAATATATTAAAAATTATAAAACCTCATTCTAAATAAAATTATGTATGAAATTTTAAAAATGAATGACAATGAAAGCACTTTGTGTCAAAATTTATAGGATGTAGCTCAAATAATACCCCCCCAAAACAAATAAATGGACTAAAATATATTTAGAAAGGAAGGAATATCTTTAGAAATTAATGGACTAAGCAGAATCCAATTAGAGAAGCCAGATAAAAGAAATATCAAATAAGTATAAATAAAATACAAGAAAATTAACTTAGAGAAACATCATATTTAATGGTGAAATATTTTTGAAGGCTGCATTAAATTTAGAAACAACATTATTTAACATTATTCCTGGAAATTGAAATCATTGGAATATAGTATGAAAGAAAAATAAGACATAAATAATTAAAAAGAAAAGAAAAATTGTTATTACTTAGAGGTGGTGTATTTGTCTTACTATAAATACAAGACAGCTTTGAATATGGAGACATTGGTCCCCATGCCTTCTGTGAATTAAATGAGTATCTGTAAAGAGAGAAGAAGCTAGAAGTTGAGTGGAAGACTTGAGAGTTTGCGAAAATCTGGAGTAACCATGGAGGCAATACTTGCTGACCAAATATCAGAAATACAGATGAACTTATGTATCATAAATTCAGTGCTACAGGCATCAAACTCCATAGGGTTGTTTGTGTTACTGGATTTTTTATAGTGAGCCTAGAAATTGGTGAGGCACAATTTGTTGACTTTTGGACAAGAGAAATTTTGAAATAAGGGGTGAAAGAAAGTGGAATTGATAGAGAATGATAACAAGTACCAAAGTCATTGATTTGCTTTGTCAGTATCAAAACATATAACTTTGCCAGATTATCACAAAAAAGTAAAGTGTCCTGCAGTTACTTTTTTTTCTTCTTTTATCTTTGCCTAATCTGCTATGTAGGTGAGCTATTGAAAACTCACTTAGAATAATAATATTCTGTAACTGCTGAGCACGTGCAATGTGACTCTTACGCTGGGGACACAAAGGGTAAACCTACATTCTTTGAATTCTAGAAATATGACCCTAAGTAAATGAATATATATTTTTAAATCAAACAAAGCATTTCTCTTTTAAATGCACAAATAGAAATGTATAAATAGAATCCTTAATTGTAAGGATTAAGGATAGGTTTTTTAAAACTATCTTTTATTAGCCTAGATACAGTTTGACTGACCTTAGCTACATACCCAAGTGTGAGTGCACACACACATACACACACACACTCCCTCTTATCTCTACAAATAAAAGGTAATAATGTTGCTGCTCACTGCACTATTAAATATGCTCACTTTCCTTATCTCATTAGGTCACCAAAATCGTTTAAGCACCTCTAGTCTATTTCTCTCTCCTTGCAATGCATTGCAATTCAATCCTCTCTTGTGAAAAGTGTGACAATAGTAGCCATTACTTTCTATTATATTTGAAGGTTGTGGGCATATGGGTGAATTCACTAGGGAAATAATTTCAAAATTATGATGGAGGATTTATGTGCTCAAAATGCTCGTTTCTGTTAACCATATTTGTGTATATAACTCTTCCAGAACTCCTTGAAGTTTAGACATCAGGAACTTTGTTTTACATCAAAGTGAATACCAATGTACAGTTGGTATGAATTTCCTAGGTCCAAAAACACAGTGGGGACACAAGAAAAAACAGCCTCACTGTAATGCATCTGTAATGAATCAGTCATCTCATGTGAAACAGTACACTGTAAATTTGAAAATATAATCTGTGCTAGAAAGGCTCAAGCTGTACTGTAAATTCAATCTCATGCTGTCTAATGGGAATTTATCCTGGAGATGAGTACAGTGTCTGCTGCCTGGCTGTGTAATTGGATGGAGCAAGGTCTAGCTGCAAAAAAAAATCTGCATTTAGATAGCCACATACATATAAGAAGCCAAGATATCATATTTTTAGAGACAATATAATTCTGCATGTGCAGAAAACTGTTTAAATATTAATATTGCTTTTGGTACCATACTATGAACATCAATTCCTCATACCTGTTTTTAAAGCAATAGGAGAACTAAAGTAAACATTTGCTTTTGTTTTGTTAAAAAGAAATGCAGTGTTAATCACTATGCTTTTAAAAGTCTGTAAAGGCTGCAGCTGTTAAAACTGCATTTACAACATATTATGACTTATGAGATATAAATTTATGATATATTGTATCAAACCGATTGCTTGAAAAATCTCAGTTCTCTTATTGACTGATTTTACCTATTGTGAGATAGCCTTGAAAGGAGTCACCACCTTTTGCTGTGGTTATTAATTTTACCTCCTGGGAACAAAGTTGCAAGTCAGCTATTCCTCCTAACACTGTCATGAGAGTGGACTATATGGTATAGATTCAAGTTTCTCTGAAATATGCAGAGTGATAAAACATACACTGACATCATTGCGTGGATTGTATAACTCAATGTCAGCCAGGGTCATCCCTGAGCTCCAGAAAAGATTAGCTCAAACTTCCATTCCATGTCCTGCAAAGATTTGCTACTCAAAGTGAGCACCATGGACAGCAGCATCAACATGGTCTGGGAGAAAAGCAAAAATACGGAACTTACACTAGCTCTACTGAATCTGAATCTCATTTTAAGAAGCTCCTATAAGAGTTGTTCATACATTAAAGTTTGAGAAGCACTACTATGAGGCCCTCCCAGATATTCAAAGAGAATTTCTGAGGGGCTTAATGCTCATAGTCACTTTGCACTGACTCCTTTACATTGATTAATATGCACTCTGCATTTTGCAACGCTTCTCTTATCTCGTTAATTTTTCTTAAAAAGTGAAAATTAGTTCTTTTCCTTGATTTACACAACATACATACACACACACACACACACACACACACTTCCAAGGTCTGTAATTGTTGTGATAAACAAAATGCAATTGGCAATTGTGGAGATTATTTTATTTAGGCTATTGCAATTGGGAAAACATTCATTATAGAGGAACATCTCAAGTGAAAGGCAGGAGACCTGAGGGTTTACAGAGGTCAAAAACAAGGAAGTCATCCACAACTCTTATGGGACTCATGAGAAAAGACAGTGGTTGATCTTATCTTGGAACATGCAAGCATTAGGTGATCCTCCGTGATTAGACATTTCAGAAACACAAAATGATGGTGGGCTTCTTAATCATCACTTCTTCCCAGGAGCACGGGACTCAGATAAAGTTTAGCATTGTCAATTCTTCCTTTCATAAAGACAAGTGTTATTTGTTGGTGAACAACCTAACAGTGATCATAAACCTCCTTAGTGGGACAGAACAAGATCTAAGAAATAGTCTCTGGAGAACTCTTGTTGATTTTTTTTCCTCTAAAGTAGATTGAACAATTTGTTAAGAGGTGACGACAAAGGTCAGTTGTTTTAGAGTCTGGGGATCAGTCATCTTTAAAAAAGGAATGCTTAAAACATGGAAAAGAGTTTCATGAATCTCTAGTCATAGGAATAGGAGTTGTCTGGTGTTATGCATAGTATTAACAACCTCCCACATGCATGCATGACCAGAGCATTTTTCGAGACATCCAAAGTTATCCAGACAGTAGCTTGTCAAGTGAGAATTATGGCCCATGCATGGTCTGCTGAGGTACTCAGGTGTATATTAAATTGCCAGAGTTTGGCTTATGGAGATTTTTCAGATCCTGGGGGAAAGGGTCAGCTACCAGGCAACCTAGAGTCTCTTAAAACATATGTTTACAACTCTTAAAACATATGTTTTAGTTCTTGATGCCAAGCCATATAGAAAGAAGAAAAATTTGAAAAGTTTGATGAATTATAGCCATATTTGAAGGAAACTGGAAGAATTAAAAATATAAGAATGATTGACAATTTGGGCAAGCTAACAATGTCCAGTTCAATTTACAGGTAGGTGCCAAAACTGGTTTTGCCACAGATAGGGAAGAAGTCAATTAAAACTCTACCAGAAAAAGACAGAGTTTACATACCCATCATTTACCCACAATTTTAAAAGAGGTTCAAAAGAGCTCAAAGACAAAAAAAACAGGACTACAATTTGATAACTCAGAAGTGCAAACTATAGGGAATGCATAGTTTTCCACTGAAATATAACTTTTCTCTCTATAACCATTTCTCTTCCGATGTAAAATAACCTCAAATAAAAATTATTCTTAATCATAAAATAAGAACTATTTCTTTACATTTGGCATAACTATTTACATAGGTGCATCAAGAATGGTAATTTACTATATGGGCCTTTCTAAACTTGTTTCACCAGATATTTTTATACAGAATCTCAGATTGGACTTTAAAAAGCCTCTTGAAGCTAGAAAGCTAGGAAGCTAAGTCAAGTTACCACCAGATTTCACCGGTAATACTTACACCCATAAGAGAATTATATTCACTAAAAGGATTCATAGAACTCACAAACGCCATTATTCTCACAGTTATGGTGTATTACCCTGAAAAGATGCAGACTAAAAACCACAAAGAGAAGAGGCACACAGGGAAGACTCCAGGAGACAACAGGTGCAAGCTTCCCGTTGTCCCCTCCCAGTGGCATCATATGTACAGTGCTTATCTCTCCCAGAAATGATGTGTGTTATGGACCACAGACAGGAGTATTCCCAACCAAGGAAGTTCACTTGAGCCTTGGTGTCCAGGGTTGCTATCAAGAGTCTGTCACATAGGCATGACTGACTGTCTCAATGACTAACCTTAGCTCTGGCCCCTCCAGGGTAAAGCTAATACCACATGCCCCCCACCGTAAGTTACATTGATGGTAGGGACTATCTGGCATGGCCCAAGACCCTCAAGTAAACAAAGACATTATTATCAGCCAGGATATTCCAAGGTGTCTTAGTCAATTGGGCTGCTATAACAAAATTAATATAGACTGGATGGCTTAAACATTTTATTTCTCACAGTTAAAGAGGCTAGAAAATCCAAGATCAAGATGCCAGTAGATCCAGTGTCTGATGAGGGTCCTCTTCTTGGTGAGCAGACAGCTGTCTTCTTTGTGTTTCATCACATTGCAGAGAGCAAAGAGAAAGGAAGGAATCTCTCAACAATGTTTCTTCTTATAAAGGCACTAATCTCATCATAAGGGCTCCACCCTCATGACCTAATTATCTCCCAAAGGCCATCTCTTCAAATACCACCATAATGAGATCAGGGTTTCAACATATGAATTTTGTGAGATGCAAACATTCACTCCATGGCACAAGGGTTATCTCTCAGGAGCTAGGAAAAGGGTCACATCTTTCTATAGAGTCTTCAGCATATGGACAACCTGGACTTGCTGAATTCATTTTTTACCGCTCATTGTGCCAAACAGGAAGTGATTTTCTTGCTCACCTGTACCACTGGGAGCCTCATAAGCAGGTACCAGTACAATTTTTCCAAGGGCGATCTGTGAAAATTGGTGCCATTGAGTCAAACTGACTTATTTTAAAGAATCGGGTCATATCTAATTAAATAAGCATCATTATCAAATCTGACACTCTAGGCAAGGCCTTGGTTGCATAACTAATTATTTAAATTATGTTCTCGTAATAGAAAGTACAGATTCTTACTGGGCCTATGCAGATGCTTATGTCTCTCTGAAAATAAGAACATTCATCTGGCAGAGATAAAAGGATATCATTTACAAATGTTTTATTTCTATTTACAAAAGCATGGTCTATGATATGGTTTGGCTGTGTCCCCACTGAAATCTCATCTTGAACTGTAGCTCCCCAGATCCCCACCTGTTATGGGAGGGACCCCGTAGGAGGTAATTGAATCATAGGGCCAGGTTTTCCCATGCTGTTCTTGTGATAGTGACTGAGTCTCATGAGATCTGATAGTATTTTACAGGGGAGTTCTTCTGCACATGCTTTCTTGCCTGTTGCCAGGTAAGACATGCCTTTGCTCCTCCTTCACCTTCTGCCATGATTGTGAGGCCTCCCCAGTCACCTGCAACTATGAGTCCATTAAAACTCCTTTTCTTTGTAATACCTAGTCTCTGGTATGTCTTTATTAGCAGCATGAGAACAGACTAGAACAATCTACTAAATAGTTATAAGTTATAGATAACTTGAAGAAAAGAGAAAGATTATTTATAAAGCCTGAAAGTAGAACATTAAAACATTAACAGTATTCCAAGCAAAACCAACAATCATCCCTCATCAGTTCATCTAGTCATATGTAATTGATTGTTTTTCTGCTTACTCTTTGGCTAGTAGCCCCATAAACCCATCGGATTCTTTACTAGAATTCTGAAAATCGTGATTAATTCCACTTTTATGATATCAAAGTCATTTAAACAATGTCATCAGAAGCCCATGCCCCAAAGTACCTGGCATAGACCTTTTCCATGGGCCTCTGAAACAGTCTTTCCATGTTGAAAATAAAAAGCTCTGGCCTGTAGCTGATAGCAAATGCTTTCAGGGAAACATTAGAGTAAAACCAACAAAAAATATATGCATAAATGACAAAAAATTTAAAATAGCTATGGTTAATATATTACTGGTAATTTTCAAAGAGAAAGATCTGATAAAAGTTTATTATAAAAATAATATAATTAACAAGGAAATTTGGTTATTTGTATGGCACGCAAAACTAGATAAAAGTCAATCCAAAATGTTTTAGACAATACATCTACACACATAATAATTATCCTTATTTTCAAAGAGTGGATATTGCATCTAATTTACAAAAATAGGTTAATATTTACAAAGAAAAACACTATAATATGACATATATTAACCCTGAGACATAATTTACTATGAATATACCAAGCACATAGTTAGAATATATTAAGAATATCAAGAAAGGAGATTCTCTAAATCTGGAGTAGGCCTTAAATATCTATATATTAATAAAACTCCATAGGTAAGTGAATTAAGGCAAATGCCCAGTTAAAAATCAGCAGCATAGGAGATACTGAATTCAAATTAAAAAGTAAATTTAGACCAAGTTAATACTTTTTAAATAACGAAAATTATGGTATGAAAATATCATATTCTATACTGCTGTTGTCTGATATTGGGCAAAACAGTATTTGGATTCTGATTAATCAAATATATCATGAACTATAAGGAAATCAACTAATCTCTAAGACCCTGCAATACAGCATATGATTTCTGAAATATTTGTATTAATAACATTTAATGCCTGCATACTTAACCTAGAGAAAGCTAAACATCTCTTCTGATTTGACAATGCTTCCCATGCAACTCATCTATAGTAACACACCAAAAAAAAAATCCAAATTATTTTTATCACCTCTCTTTTTTCAAGATGAAAGAATAAATCTTTTCTTACTTTCCATGATTCCTCTGAGAAATTTTAAGAGCAGTTTTAATTGCAAAAGATAGCATTCAATTTTGAGAAGGCAAAAATCAAAAGTTGTCATGAGATTTAAAGAGTTAAAAGAGAAAGAAGACCATGAATACCTGAGAGACAATACTTTGTAACTCATTTCAAAGTAAAAATGAAATATTTTAAAGTGAACATAAAAGGTGACATGATTGTAAAGAAGTGTGACATTAGAAGTCTTCATTTTCTTAAATAATCAAGGACAAAATAAAGTCAACATAAACCACAGCAGGTTATTCTGGTAAAGCAGAGAATCTCTGTTACCCAGGAAGACTATTCAGAAGGTAAAGAATAACCACCTACAACTTCTTATTAAGAGCAGACCAACAATTCAAGGAATCCAAGGAAATACTGTCATTTTAACAAAGAGAAAACCAAATTACAATTTTGTTTTTCAAAACGATAGCTTGGTAATGCAAAAATTACAGTTTTGAATCAATAATTTCAGCTATAGTTTTTTTTTGACAATCTTATTTTAAAAAAATCAAATCATAACCAGCTTTGACCCAAAACAAAATTCCCTTTCTGTGAACCTTCTTCAACTTATATATTCAGGTTTTTTCCTACACTTTCCTCTTCCTGATTCTGAACATCAGTTATGTTATTTTAGGACAAAACTTCTCTTTTTTCCTTAATACATCCTGATTACCTTGCATACAAAGTTGTTCCTCTTTACCACTATTGCTGTTAGTAGAGTCTCATTCACCTATAGTGATTATAACTTTTAACCGCAGTCATGGCTATTTCACAGAGAAAATTGTGAGGTAGATAATATAAACTGTCTCTCACACACCAGCATTTTGCAGCAGAGTAACAGAGCTCATTAATAAACACTTCACAACTCTCTATAGCCACTCACATCCCTTACAGTACAACTTCTCAACACAGCAAAAATGAACACATTGTTGGCAGACTCACAGATATGTAGCCTCTCTATAGCACATAAAATAAGGCAAAAAAGCATTTACCCTTAAAATTATGTTTTGTAATTAATCCTTCAGCGTTCTATCTTACTTAGGATGTGGGCATCTAATGAATATACATTAATTAACTCAACTTGAATAAATTCAAGAGTTTAAGTTACCTAAAGATCTAGGAAATTATATTGAAACTGACGTATTACAATTACTGCTGAAATAAAGGTAGTCAAAATAATAATTAAATTTGGTTGAACACAGATTTACATTTTTAATAATCTTAAACATGAAGTCAAAATAATGTTAGCTTATTCTATCAGTGAATTTTTATTAGTTCAGGGAAACATTCCAACGTCAAATAAAAATGCACAATTGTATTATATTTAATTCTGATAACTCAGAGAAGATATATCTCTTTTCAATTAAGCTAACATCATTAGTCTTGTTTGACAAAGATTTACCAAAATTACTTAAACTTGAATTATTAAAACATTTCTAAGTTCCTATTTTTTAAGTCTTTTTTTCACATTGAAAATATTTTATTAGTCTTAATTTCTGGGAATTTTAGGAATATTCAATTTATATAAGTACTCTAAGTCAATCAGAATAAAGCTCCCTTAATAAATTTTATAGTCTAATTTGATAATACCATGCAGAGATAGAAAAATCTTACACATTAACACAATGGAATGTAAAGGGCCTTTCTAAATCACATACATATAAACATATAGCTGCAGAAAGAGAGAACGCTTACAATTTCCATTCTAAAATTTCAGCAGTAGGTCAAGCAATAAACACAGAAATACAAAGCCCACAAAACAGAAAGGCTGTTCTTTTCTTAGCTGGTCCAAATTCTTAATTGATTTGACCTCAAAATAGGCAAATAGACACATAGAAAAGGCTAACCAACCAGATTTTCTTTTGTCTTTCCCCTAACAGAAATAAGATCTCTATAAACCATTAATCCACTTACAGAGATCACCAAATGGTCAGAACATTAAACCAAATGAAGCTGGCACCAGAAATAAAGCAAGAACTCAAGAAAAATCAAAATCAAATCCTCATTGTTCAAGAGGTATACAAGAGTCCAGAGCACAGGACCAGCAGCTGGACTCACCACTGGGTCCCCGGATAGCTAGTCAGTAACAAAGCACAGGAGCTGTGAAAAGACTCATCATCTGGGTGCAGTAAATGAGAATCCATCTGAGGGCCAATTCTATACAAGTCATGACATCAAAACTGTGAAAGACAAAAATTCACTGGACTGAACAATTAAGGAGATGATTTTACTCAAGCTATTGCCATTTCTTGAATATTAATGAGAATATTAATATAATATGGATGAGAATATTCATTAATGAGAAGCATCTCAAAGAAAAGGAAGAGAGCCTGGGGGTTTATGGGAGCAAAAAAACAAGGGAATCATCGTCATATGGGAATCACAAGGAAGGATGCAGAGGGGCTTATCTCAGAATGTTCAAGAGCAGTTTTCTTCTGTGATTAGCTATTTCCCAGGACATAAAAGAGTGGGGAAATTTCTTTTTATTTCTTTTTTTTTTTTAAGACTGCATCTTACTCTGTCATCCTGACTGGAGTGCAGTGGCTCAATCACAGATGACTGCATCCTTGACCTCCCTGGGCTCAGGTGATCCTCCCACCCGAGTCCCTGAGTAGCTCAGACTACAGGCACTTGCCACTACACCCAGATAATTTTTTTACTTTTTTATTTTATTTTATTTTATTTTATTTTTTGGTAGACACCAGTTTTCACCATGTTATTCAGGCTAGTCTCAAACTCCTAGACTCAAGCGATCCTCCTGCCTTGGCCTCCCAATGTGCTGGGATTACAGACATATGTCACCATCCATGCCCAGCTGAAATTTAACTCTTGCTGCTTTCCAGGAGCACAAGACTCAGATACTAAGTGCAATGTTGTGATTGTGTAAAGGTTTTTATGAAAGATTTAGGGAGACGAGGTGTTCACAGAGGGGTGCAAACTTCTTAAGGACAACTGCATTTCCCTTACAGGGCCACAAATTCTAATCATTTCTATTCCCTTCCCAACCAAAACAAACAACTGATTGGATTTCCCTGCTCTTAAATCCTTTGATCATTCTGCTGCACTCTTCAGTCATGCACCTATCTCTTGGCTCCACTTGTCTCCATTCCGTTTTCTGCCAACTTCCTCTTAGGCGAAAATAATAATTTCCACTTTCTTATGCAAGGAAGTTTAGCTCATTTTTTCTAGTCCAAACAACCAGCTCAGCTCTGGGCCTTTGTCTGCTGAGCAAAGATTTGGACAAAGTTCGAAAATTACCACTTGCCAACTCTTCAGTAAATTCTTACACAACATGGCACTCTCCACCCCACCTTGTGTTGGGGAGAGTAGGAAAGTTTTATTCCTCCAGTTATAATTTGATAATCCCCAAAAGGAAAATTATAGAAAATATAAAAGCCCCACTGGTAGTTGCAGTCAGCAAAAAGGAATGGCTTGTCATAGAAGCCCTTTCTAGGTACGTATCTCTCTGGCACTTCTCCATTCACTTAAATAAAATGCATTTCCCATGTACTACCCCATATTCTGACCATCTCAAATTCCACCCCAATCAAAATGGAATGAAGTATGTTCTCTTCATCCCCAGATCTTAGAGAATTATCCCCTGAAAAGCATTCTCATAAATTAATTATGTCAAGCAACTCAAAGACAATCTTGGAAGCAGTCAATAAAATAAGACATAGTGACTACAAACAATTCTTCCCAGTTAGCTTTGTCCATGACAGAATCATCCCTCTCTGTCTGCCATTGCTGCTCCCTTGCGCTTCCCAGCCATGAAACCTGGAGCTCCCTGGTTACTACCTATACAGGGCTCTGCCTTCTGGAATTTATTCTCTCCCGGGCTTTCTCGCTCTCTGTCTATCTCCATGCCTAAGTCCCTCTGCAGGCCTGTAAGAAGCATTTGTTCTCCCATTCATTTCCACCACTCCTATGGTTAGCAGAGTTGTAGAATATCCCCAGTGCCAGTAAGACCTGTGGGTGGTCTGCAACCAGGTCTGGGACTGGGTGAAGTATTCCACCACGGAGTAGAAACTGGAAACCCAATTTGGCTTTGGGGGCGTGTAGTGTTCAGAAATTCAGCTTTACTAGTAGTATTGATCTCTTTCTATAGTTTGAGGACTCAGAGAGGAGAAAGGGCGTAGTTATTTTACATCATTAAACCCCAACAATGACCACTTCTAAATCCATTTATTCACTGGTCCTTAAATATTTGTTTTAACCAGGTGCCTGTATGAGTCCCCCAAAATGTGACAATCTTGACAACTTAGAAGAGATGCTATTTTGCCCCCTTGGTTTGCCATTTCAGTTTTCTTTTTCTTAAATTGCATCTACCCCTGTATATGAATCTTTATTCATATTAATTAATTAATTTTTTTTAATTCTTCAGCTGAACACTCACTCACAGACCCTTGTTATGATAACTGGCCACTTTCCACGGTGATCAGTTTATATTAATAACTGGATTAACTAAAGGTGATAGTACTTAAATTTTACTAGCAGAGAAGTCTTCAAGACTTCAAGCACTAATATGTCAGGGAGTGTGTTAAGTATTCTTTATGTGTTAACTCATTTAGTACCTCCTATATGGAAAATGTATTATTATTCAAAGAAATTGGAGGACTGAAAATTCAATAATTTCCCAAGGCCACACAGTGAGCGGCATAGTCATTCCTCTGACTCAGGTCTTTCCAACTCCAAAGCCTTTTATCTCTCTCTTCAACTGTGAGTTGTTGATCTGGATGGAATTATTTCCATATATAAATTTTCCTCAAGCTTATGAATTTTTATTCTAGGACCCAAAATTGCAATCTTCTTTTGGAGATAATTGGAAACATTTTGAGCTGGGAACTGGAAGGAAAAAAGTTGGGTAAAGGGGAAGAAAGAGCTAAAGAGTTTTGTCCCTGGATGCCTGCAAAGTTTTGAGGCACCCGCTCTCTGGAGCGAGTGATCTGAGTCCTGTGAAGAAAAGAGGTGGAAGATTAGATAGTTTAGCCCCAAATGACCACAAACAGAATTAAGACCATGTTTTCATTAGAGGATTTAGAATATCCCCAACTAGCTATGCCAAATAAAGTTAACTCTTCTTGTTTCCATCTTCAGCATCTAAATAATTGGTCTCTGGGATCATGAAAGAACTCAAGAGGCTGAAATTAACTGAATTATAAATTCAGAAATGGATAGAAGAATTGAATGGGGCAACACACACACACACACACATAAATGCCTCTTGCTATACATATTTTCTGCAACATTCAAAAACTCACATATAAGGATCTTACTAAAATCACATAGGAAGGAAATCCTGTAAATTTCTGGGAACTGAAAATTAGATAGTTTCAATTTCTGACTTAGTATGTTTATAGTGGATACAATGCTTATTTTGTTTATTGCACTGTCTGATTAATTTTAATGATTATTGAAAACATAAGAACGTTCATGTGTTTGTGACCTTGGTCTCTGTATTTTCCCTTACCTAATCTGGCATTTTTTCTGTTGTAGGATTTTGTTTAAGAACTTCAGCCTGTGATTGGTAAAAGGTTTAATCTATTTGAAGCCTAATTTCCTAGTTACAAAAATGAAACTAACAACAATTTATTTTTCTTTCGTATAAAATAGAAACTCTATAAAGAAGACATACTCACCAGATATTTTTGTAAAAAGCAAGTTGCAATGCTACCTGCCCTAAACCTTAACATACTTAATCCCTTAAAACCTTTCCACAGGGAAGGGTAAAAGTGGGTCCAATTTCAGAGTGGCCTAGGCAGAGCTCAGATAGGAAGTGAAGCCACCATCCAAGTTCCTTCACAGAACAGTAAATCCTTCTATGGGTCCCACATCAACAGGAGGAATGAAGGTCTTTGACAACAGGCTACCCAGCCAAAAATGAAGTTTTCAGAGACATGGGATTCATGGGCTATGTAAGTGTAATCTACAAAACTCTCAAGTACTACACCAAAACCAACCAAAGTCTTTTCATTTGAACACAGCATTAAAACAAATTTGCATCATCATGTGTATAACAGAACCTATAAACTTCTGCTATCTTGCAAAAAAATTATGAAGCCAAAAGAATAAATTCTCATTACAAGGTAACACTTCGCCAGAGGGTGGACATTACAAAAAAACATAGAAATATCTTCTTTGTAATGATAAAGAAGCATCATCTGTGTGAGCATAGATAATGTACAGCCGGGCACCCAGTGTCCTGCCCTAGACCAGTGATTCCCTAAGCAAAAATCATAGATATTTTTTCAGATACTTATAAATGAATGACAGGCACATTTATAATTTTACATAAAAAGTGTTTCAGCTACTTACTAGTAAACTTCTAGAACTTTATAAAGTGAATTTAACTGTTGCCTAGATTTTTTGGCTTTCAACTCACTAAATTAAATCAAAACATTAGTTTGTTTTGTTTTTAAGTGTATAGAGAATTGGTCTATAAAATAAAATACTGTTAAAGTTAGTAAGTGTTTCATCTATGTTGCTGGCAAAGGTTTACTACCTTTTTTTCTTTATTCTCTGCAGTGATTTGTTTTCACAAAGTTATCATCCACTAGAAAGTAGTAGTTTATAAGGTTGGGGACCGTAGGATCCTTTGACATTGGCAGTGGTCATGGCTTTGTTGAGAACTGTTGCCCTGCAACACAACTAGCCAGGAATTTCATTCTCTCTGTGCATAGAGGAAACATGTATGCACAGAGAGAATGGAATTCATGGCCACATGTCTTTTAATGATATAATAATTGTGTCATTAAAACTCTTCTAAACTGTTGTAGAATATGTAGCTTAAGGAACTTCTTTTTAGCACCTAAGGGAATTTTCATCATTGTCTCAGCTTAAACCCTAAATTCAAATCTCGCCACTCTCTGGTCAGAAAATGGTTAGAATCTGTGAGCATGTTCTACTCATGCTTTCTCCAAAAGTGATTCCATCTAATCCCATGGCTTTGTATACCACCTCTATGCCATTTATTTCTAACTACGTATCTGACGTCTGCAGCCCTAGCCTTGCCACTGAGCTCTTGACTCATATATTTATATATATGCCTACTTGATATTTCTTGTTAAATGCTTTATACATTTCTCAAGCATATCATGCTCAAAAGGAAAGTATTGATACACACACAGACACACATACACAAAAACACACACACACACACACACCCCACATACCACATCTAATCTTTTCCTAGTTTTTAAAAATTTCAGTATGTGGCTCTACCCAATTAATCAAGCCAAACACTTAGTAAGAGTCCTAGATTTCAGTCTCACCCTGGTTCTCCCCCTTAGTTTGTGACTCTCCCACAAGATTTGCAGTTCTAGCTCAAAAAAAATAGCAATAACCCAGATCCACTTGCTTTTTTCCATTCCATTGATGCCATGCTGGTACAAGGCTCCCTCTACTCTTCCCAGGATGTCTACAATGACACCAAAAATGAATTTCCAGCTTCCATTTTTTACCACCCCCAGCTCTCACATCCTACACACACACAATCTATTCTCTGTATAGCAAGCAGAGACAAAATTTCAAAATTCAAACACAAACATGTCATTCTCCTACTTAATACCCTCCAGTGACTTATATCACCTTCATAAAAACAAGACAAGGTCAGGAAGGACTTTGTCTCCTTACTGACAAAGTCCCTACCAAGGGTTATGTGTTTCAGCTCTATCTCTCTACCTCCTCTGTCTTCAACCATACTGGTATAACAGCCATCTCATCCCTACCTACGGACCTTTACACTGGTCTCTGCCTGCAACTCCGCCCTCAGATATGGCTCCTTCATGTCATTCAAAACTTAGCTTGAATGTCACATCCTCATAGAGGTCTTTCCTGACCACTCTATGTAAACTGTTTCTCCATTCTAGCTCACTGGCACATTATTTTGTATAGTGGTTAATTTTATGTGTCAACTTGACTAGCCTAAGTGATATCCAGATACTCTGTAAACTATTATTGCTCGGTTTGTCTGTGAGGGGGTGCCTGAAAAAGATTGGCATTTGAATAGATAGACTGAGGAAAGAAGACCTCCCTTGCCAATGTGGGTGGGCACCATCCAATCCATTGAGTGCCCATATGAAACAAAAGGCAGAGGAAAGGCAGAATTTGCTCACGCTGTTTGGGCTGAGTCATGCATCTTCTTTTGTCTTTGGATGCTCTTACTTCTCAGGCCTTTGGACTTTGACCAGGATCACTCGCCTTCATAACCATGTGAACCAATACCTATAATAAACCTCCTCGTGTGTGTGTGTGTGTGTGTGTGTGTGTGTGTGTGTGTGTGTGTTTACTCCATTGGTTCTGTTTCTCTGAAGAACCCTAAGACACTATGTTTTAGTTTCTACATAAGAGTTACCATGATCAATATTGTTATAATCAATCATTTGCTTATGTTTTATTGTGTCTCCTCATTAAAATGAAACTTCCATGCAAGCCAGGACCAAACCTAATACAACCTAATCTGTTCACCAATATATACTCAGAAACTGAAACGGAGCCTAGCACAGGATACATTCTTACTAAATTTTAAGGAATAGATGTATGGATAGATGGATAGAGTTTTCTCATTCAAGAAAAAGTCCATGATCTGCTTTCTCAATCTAGCTACATAGAAATAAAAACAGAACAAAAGATATTGCTATACCATTTTAATAGTCTTTTATGCCCACTAATAAGAGTGAAAAATTCCCTGTCTAGGAAAAAGATTTAAAAGAATTTGGTGAAAAACTTCTCCTAGATAGGGAGAGAAGCAAAGAGCTTATATTCTTCCCACAAGAAGCTTAAAATATACAGACAGAACTTAGACATATGGTGTGAGATGTGGGGTGACAGAGCCCAATGGAGAGCAGCCCTGTCCTTGTGCTCTCATTGCCATCCTAGGCTAACTCAGGGAGTTGAACTAAGTTAACGTCAAGTGTCATTTATAAAAGTTTTGAGGTTAAGTTGTAGCTTATAGTAATACTCTTATAGGGAAACCATTAAAACTCAACATACACCTTAGTTATTTTTAAAACCTCCTCAAAGGTTTTGAAAGCTTTAAGCATATTTTTAGGTTTAGGAAACATTTATTTGCTACACGGACCAATCCTAAAGGAGAAAACTAAATCCTCCAAATGTTTAGCCACTACCTTCTCATAAGGTGCTGATAAATTGAGATAACATAAACGGCACACAAAAACACACCTGTAACATATATTGTTACATTTGTAGCAAAAATCTGTTTTAAAAGTTGTTAGGCTGGCAGTTCATGCCTCTAATCCCATCACTTTGGGAGGCCGAGGCAGGCAGATCACTTGAGGTCAGAAGTTCGAGACCAGCCTGGCCAACATGGTGAAACCCTGTCTCTACTACAAAAATTAGCCTGGCATGGTGGCACGTGCCTGTAATCCCAGCTACTCTGAGGCTGAGGCAGAAGAATCATTTGAAACTGAGAGGCAGAGGTTGCAATCAGCCGAGATCATACCACTGCACTCCTGCCTGGGCAGCAGAGTAAGACTCCACCTCAAAAAAAAAAAAAAAATTTGTTAGAGTTATAAAAGAAGCAACAATCCACAGTTTTATTAGAAACAGAATGTCAAACCCAGGGGATCAAAGAGACAACACATGGTCACCACTATTATGTTTATTACTCTGGCATGATTTCCATAAAAATTAGAAGACAAGTACATATAATATAAAACTAAAAATGAATTCAAAAATTAGATCAAAGAGAAAATAGTAAAGTAACAGTCTTTGGTGTACAGAGTAGTTATTAGATTGGGTCAAAGATTTAGATCTAAAATTACTAGTAAAAAGGATAGAAAAAAATTAATCAGGTATGAGATAAAATCCACTTAGTTATTCAAGAGAAACTGGACTTTTTTCAATACTCACCAGAGAGATATTTCTTCTGACGCTCCATGATGGTCAACTTTATGTGTCAACTTGACCAGGCTACAGTCCACAAATATTCCTTTAAGTACTAATTTAGATTTTGCTTTGAGGGTATTTGTAGATGTATGAAAACTCATATTCAGTTGGATTTAAGTAAGGAATATTATCCTAGATAATCCTGGAGGGCCTGATTAAATCATCGAAAGGCCTGGTGAACAGAAATGAGGCTTCCCCTGAAGAAGAAAAAATTCTGCTTATGGATAGTATCTTCAACTAATGTCCAAGCTTGCTAGCATGCTCTTCTTGACTGCCTGTCCTGCAGATTTAAGATGTGTCTAGCCAGCCTCCACAACCACATGAGCCAAATCTTTGACATACATTTTCTAATATTAGTCTTCTACTGGTTCTATTTCTCTGTCTGAACCCTGATTGATATAGATTTTGGGCCTGGAGGTGGGGATGCTGATGTAACAAATATCTAAAAACAATGAAGTGGTCTTGAAACTGTAGAATAGGATCGAAGCTGGAAGAATTTGAGAAGCATAGTTTAAAAAATCTTGATTGCCTTTAACAGACCAATCATGGAAACAAAGATTAACAGCCCTGCTAATGAGGACTCAGAAGTGAGGAGCACCACAGGGAAAATATGTATGGTCTTAAGAGAGTACTAAATTGTCTTAAGCTGTCAGTAGAAATATGGGTGGCAAAAATGCTGCCAGTGAGGTCTCTGAAGAAAATGTTCTTGGCCATTGGAGGAAAGGGTATTCTTGCTGTAATAGGAGAAAACTTAGCTGAACTGTCTCCTGTAGTTATGTGGGAAGCAAAGCTTTTAAATGGTGAACTTGGATATTTAGCTGAGGATCTTCTCAAGCAAAGTGAGGCTGGTTTTTTTTGTTTGTTTGTTTTGTTTTGTTTTGTTTTCTTGCTGTGTATAGTAACAGGTGAGAGGAAAGAGACAAATTGAAGGAATAACTGTTGGGAAAAATTGTTGAGTGAAAATCAGGACTTGATTATTTGAGAAATTGTTAACCTATCTTTAACATTTATTAGCAACATATGTTAAAATTAGGAGATTCACTGTCAGAAAAGCATGCATTGGAGAGAAAGTCAAGCTTTTTCTGGTACTTCAGAAACATCAAAAGGTCAGAGTATTCAGTCACACAGAGGACTCTTTGAAGAAATTAGGCATGTGACTCTCGGATCTTTTCAGTCACATCAGAAGAAGCTAGGAATATAGATGGAATTAGGCAGGAAAGATCTCTGAAGGAGCCTCTTTTCTAATGAAGTGAGTTCTCCTGTGACATACGCAGGAGACACACAAGGTTCTTGAGAACCTTATACTAGCAGAAACACTGCCAGCTTGGCCCCAGAGGGATTGAAAAGTATGATATGAAAGGGGACTCTGATTCCTTAATGCTATAGTCAGGTTAATAAAACTACTCAGCTGCAAATATGTGCTACCTGTCATGAAAAAGGAAAGATGACACTAAGGAAAGAGTTCTAAGTTATGAGAAATATTCCCTGGCTTTGAAATCTAATGAAATTTTTAAAGCTTCCTCAGGACCAATAACTTCAAAATTCCTCAGGACGGGTAATTTCTTTTTTTTCTCTACTTTCTTCTTTTTTGAATAGGAATGTGCATAACTGGTAAGCTATAATTGTTCCACTAATGTATTCTGAGAGCAGATAACATATTTTCTAGTCTCACACATTCATAAGGGAGATCTATTTTGACCTAGGAGGGATTATATCCAAAGCCTAACCCATACCCAATGGAGATGATGATGGTAAAAGAGATTTTAAACTTTTGAGCTGATGAAGTTTAAATAATATCTTGGACTTGAACTGCAAATGAGTTTAAACTTTTAGGTACTTGGTTGGCATAAATGTACTCTGTATATGGGACAGACATGAATCTTTGGGGGCCAGGAGGTGGACTGTGTTAGGGAGAATAATGTCTGCCCAAAGAAGTTAATATACTTTGGACATATGTCCCCGTCCAAATCTCATATTGAAATGTAATCCCCAATGTTTGACGTGGGGCCTGGTGGAAAGTGATTGGCTCATGGAGGTGGATTTCTCATAAGTGGTTTAGCACCACCCCCCTTGGTACTGTCTTCACAATGTGAGTTTGTTTTCTCATGAAATCTGGTCATTTAAAAGTGTGTAGCACCTCTCCCCCCTCACTCTCTCTTGCTCCTGGTTTCACTACATGACATGCCTGTCCCTCATGTGCCTTCCACTATGGTTGGAAATTTCCTGAAGCCTCCCAGAAGCAGGTGCCACTATGCTTCCTGTACAGCCTACAGAATCGTGAGCAAATTAAACCACTTTTCTTATAAATTACCCAGTCTCGATTCTTTCTTTATACAAGTGTGAGAATGGACTAATACAGATGTCATCACACTGCTATAAAGAAATACCTGAGACTGGGTAATTTATAAAGGAAAGAGGTTTAATTGACTCACAGTTGTGCATGGCTTGAGAGACCTCAACTTACAATCTTGGTGGAAGGTAGAAGGGAAGCAAAGCGCCTTCTTCACAAGGTGGCAGAAAGGAGAAGAGTGAGTAGCTAAGGGGGAAGAGCCCCTTATAAAGCCATCAGATCTCATGAGAACTCACTCACTATCACAAGAACAGCATAGGAAAACTTCCCCATGATCCAATGATCTCCCACCAGGTCTCTCCCTAGAAATGTGGGAATTATGGGAATTACAATTCAAGATGAGATTTGGGTGGAGACACAAAGCCTAACCATATTATTCCACCCCTGGCCCCTCCCAAATCTAATATCCTCACATTTCAAAGCACAATCCCAAGAGTCCCCCAAAGTCTTAACTTATTCCATCAGTCACTCAAAAGTCCAAGTGCAAAGTCTTATCTGAGGCAAGGCAATTCTCTTTTGCCTATGAGCCTGTAAAATCAAAAGCAAGGTAGGTACTTCCAAGATACAATGGGAGTACAGACATTGGATAAATAATACTATTCCAAATGGGAGAAATTGGCCAAAATAAAGGGACTACAGGCCCCATGCAACTCCAAAATTCAACAGGGCAATCATTAAATCTTAAAGCTCCAAAATGATCTCCTTTGACTGCATTCTTATAACCAGGTCGCACTGATGCAAGAGGTATGTTCCCATGGTTTTAGAGAGCTCTGCCCCTGTGGTTTTACAGGATACAGCCTACCTCCTGGCTGCTTTCATGGGCTGGCATTGAGGGTCTGCAGCTTTTCTAGGCACAAGGTGCAAGCTGTTGGTAGATCTACCATTCTGGGGTCTGGAGGATGTGGCCCTCTTCTCATATCTCCACTAGGCAGTGCCCCAGTTAGGACTCTGTGTGTAGGCTCCAACCCCACACTTCCCTTCTGCACTGCCCTAGCAGAAGTTCTCCATGAGGGCTCTGCCCCTGCAGCAAACTTCTGCCTGGACATGCAGGCCTTTCCATACATCATCCTCTGAAATCTGGGCAAAAGTTCTCAAACCTCAATTCTTGACTTCTGTGCACTCACAGGCCCAACATCATGTGTAAGCCACCAAGGCTTGGAGCTTGTATCCTCTGAAGCAATGACCTGAGCTGTACATTGGCCCCTTTTAGCCACAGCTGGGACACCAGACACCAAGTCTGGAGGTTGCACAGAGCAGCAGCAGGGCCCTGGGCCTGGCCCACAAACCACTTTTTCTTCCTAGGCCTCGATTCCTATGATGCGAAGGGCTGCTCTGAAGCCCTTCGACGTGCCTTGTAGACATTTTCCCATTGTCTTTCTGATTAACATTTGGCTCCTCATTACTTATGCAAATTTCTGCAGCCAGTTTGAATTTCTCTTCAGAAAATGGGTTTTTCTTTCCTACCGAATTTTTAGGCTGCAAATTTTCCAAACTTTTATGCTCTGCTTCCCTTTTAAATATAAGTTCAAATTCCAAGCCATCTCTTTGTGAATATATAAAACTGAATGCTTTTAAGAGCACCCAAGTCACATCTTAAATGCTTTGCTGCTTAGAAATTTTTTCCCCCAGATAGCCTAAATCAGCTCTCTCAAATTCAAATTTCCACAGATCTCTAGGGCAGGGGCAAAATGTCGCCAGTCTCTTTGCTAAAGTATAGTAAGAGTGACCTTTGCTCCAGTTCCCTATCTCCATCTGAGACCACCTCGGCCTGGACTTCATTGTCCACATCATTATTTGCATTTTAGTCAAAACCATTCAGCAAGTCTCTGGGAAGTTCCAAACTTTCCCACATCTTTCTGTCTTCTGAGCCCTCCAAACTGTTCCAACCTCTACCTCTTACCCAGTTCCAAAGTCAATTTCACATTTTCAAGTAACTTTATAGTAGTACTACACTACCTTTGTACCAATTTACTGTATTAGTGTGTTAGTCCATTCTCACACTGCTATAAAGAAATGCCTGAGACTAGGTAATTTATAAAGGAAAGAGGTTTAATTGACTCACTAGCTATATCAACATCCATTATCCAGAACCTGTGAACCTGTCACCTTACATGGTGAAAGAAACTTTATTGCTGGAATTAAATTAAGGTTCTTGAGATGGGGAGGTTATCCTGGATTATCTGGGTGGGCACAGTGTAATTCCAAATGCCCTTTTAAAGGGAAAGAGCAAGGCAGGAGAGTTGGTCAGAGAAGGATATATGAGGAGGATAGAAGCAAAGGTCAGAGACAGATATTTGAAAGCACTACACAACTGGCTTTCAATATGGAGGAAGGGTCCACAAGCCAAGGAATGTATGTGACCTCTAAAAGCTGAAAAAGGCAAGAAAATGGATTGTCCTCAAGAGCCCCCAGAGGGAATGTAGACCTACCAACATCTGAATTTAGCCCAATGAGACTGATATTGCACTTTTTAACTTCATACTATAGGATAATACATTTATTGTTTTAAGCCACTGAGTTAATAATAGTTTGTTATAGCAGCAATATGAAACTAACATTGACCCCCAAAAGAAGGCTTATTTGTGTGTGTGTATGTGAAAACAAGACTGATTTCATGCACAATTCTTACAAATTTGAATTTTAGGTGCTTTCCTTATTCAATGTATACCTGTTCTTCTAAAGCATTTTGTTCGAAGAAAGTCTAGTGTACAAAGAGAACAAGCATGCCTTCCCAATAGTTCTACAAAGTCATGTGTATCAATTTTAGAAAGCAGGCTAAATTGTTGAACAAGGCACCACATGTCAGCTTTAGCATCCAATTTTTCTCCTACTTGATGTGACTATATTTTAAAAATACATTTACAAATATGAGACTAGAAGTAATAACATCTTTTTTTTCACTGCTAAACGTCAAGTCAATCACAAAGAAGAAGTCCAGAATTTACCAAAGATATTTTAGGTAGTGGAGAACTCGTAAATGTATAACAACCAGGTCTCTAAAAGAAAAATGTCCTGACATGACGTTTGCCAATTTCTATGGTATAAATACTCCAAACATAGCCTACTTTAGGCCGTTTAAGGTCACGTCAGCTAGCTTGCAAAGTTTCTGGAAAACTTTACAATTGATTCCTGCAAGCCAGAAGAAGCTATCACCAGCACACCACTGGCTGCACAATACACAACTTTTTGCTACCAGCAGTGGAAATTTTGACATCTGTATCTACTAAGGAGCTGGGTCACTCAGGTCCACTGGATGTTCTTTACCTCAGCAAAAAAATAAAAAATAAAAAAATAAAAACACTCATGCAATGATATTTTTGCTGAAGATGAATAATCATATAAAACAAACTACCTTTTTTGAATGGCTACTTTGTGCTGGCCATCTAATTTTATATTCATTAACTCTATTAATTCTCACTGCAGCTCTGTGATCTCAAATAATTCATAGCTTCCATAATTAACTGTCCGCATCTAACTCTCTAGTCTCTTTCATTATTGCAGAAAAACAGCCTTTCTTCACAATTGTTGGTTGTTTTCAGCCACATTAAATTAAATAAACACCGGGGTAGATTCATTTATTTTAGCTACTCATTCTTTAGACTTTGTCTTAATATTTCTTTTTCACTGAGAAAAAATAAAACTTAAATTTTGACAAGTTCCTTCCACAATATGGAAAGCAAGCCCTCCACTTCTTTCTGTATAAAGTTGCCACAAAGTTAAGTATTCAAATAACAATTTTTTTCAAAATATATAATTTTTGTCCTTCCCACCCACTCCCAACCCTGGTTCAAAATGAAAAGACCAGGAGGCAGAGTGTTTGAGGTGGGGCATACTTGATAAACAATGAGGTGGCTATCAGTGTATTCAAAGTTTCTACTGTGTTTTTTCCTTTTCTAAACATGGTCCATCTGTGCACATGTCTGGACAGCTTTTATCAAAATTCTTTTACTGAAAATTTATTTATCCATAAAAGACTTTGCAAAGTAACCTCTCTTCAGAAACATTGTTATAAATATAGCAAGCAAAGCTACATTTAAAAAATAAGTCAAACTATTATTATCCATTCTTTTATTCAACCAAGTGAGCCTCAGTCTCTCAATCAGCGCTGAAAGCATGCCTTTTGAACACATTAGAAAAGGTGGTGCTTCATAGTGGAATATTTTTTACTTTGGCTTTCTGATTTTGATCCAGAATAGATCCAGCCATTTCTATCACACAGTAATTTTTTATTACAGGAGTGTCACTTTACAAGGTGAAGCTGAAACTGACCATAAGAATTGTTAAAATACTTTTATTTTACTATTTGCATTTTTAATGATTTTCTTTCTAGCCAAGATGTTTCTCTTTTTAGATTTTCCTTCAAAATTTTCATGATTTGTAAATGTCACTGCAAAAGTAACAGACCCACACATTTGCCTCCAAAGCAGCTTTTGATTTTGTTTTTATCATTTTTATGAATGAGAGATCTAAGACTTAGGCTCACCTGTCTTTCTAAGATGATAATCCCATATCTAAATTTTTAAATATATTACACTTTTCTTTATCTGACATTTTTATTCTGTAGTTATGGTTGCCTCAATGCTAACATATGTACCATTCTTAAGCTCATTATGAGGACTTTAGGAAAAATGCTAGGTCTGTTTCACTCTTGCTGAGTTCCAGTTGCTGTGAACTTCCTCCCATTACGAGTTGTTGTTTTTCTTTAAGCTTATACTTCAAAGTATTTTTTCATCACCAAATATTATTACCAATTGAAAATTTAATTTTAAGCAATATACTTTAAGGTGAATGATGAATGACTTTAAAATCACAACACACGCATTCATAAATATAGAATTTAAAATACAATCATATCAGCCAGGAATCACCATAAGAAGAAAAGAACCTTCAACACAGTAGTATATATGCAGGCAAAATGTTTGGGTACAATTGCAGCATGAATTGAGCTAATCTGAAGGAATCAATTTTGTAGTGTGTAATCAAAAGTTCAAAACATCTGATTTGAACGATGGCAACTTTGATTTCAGAAAAAAATAGTAGAGGCCATCTCTTTCCACTCCTTTACTCCACAGCCAGTGTGTGAGGCTCAGACTGCACTAGGATCCCTGCATCAGGCTCCATCCCCAGTTGCTTGTTCTTGCTCTCATGTCATTTTCCTTCTCTCTGGGCTATCAAAGCAACTAGCAACCAGTTTGGCCAAAAATAAGTTTCACTCTTTTTGCTTATAATAAAACCACTTCTAAATGTTTACATATAGTTGGTAATACCTAGATTATTTGGTACTATTCAGTACTATCCAGTGAAGAAAGAGAATGAAAATATAGTTTCATCATTATCAGAGACTCCTTTTAAACCTTCAGAAAATTTGCCAGAATAGTACAATAAAAATGACCATACCCTTCACTCAGATCAGTGTTTCTCAGCCTTTAGTTGAAAATAACACCCTCCTAAGAAGCCTTTTTAGATGCTTTTTCCTAACTGCAAACCCCCACACAAGTTTTAGTACTACAGATATACTATGTATCTGTGCACTCTATGTGTACTTACATTTAATACATAAAAGAGTAAGTTTTTGGCTTCCTAAGAACAAATTTTCACCCTCTTAAAGGTGATATTGCCCCAGTTGAGAATCCATGACCTAGATATAGCACTTGTTAATATTTTTCCACAGTTATTTTCTCTTTTTCTCTCTCTATTATATATTTATATGCACACATACATATACATATATGCACATACACATACTTTTATATTAATTAATTACATTTACTAAGTATACAATTTTATAATACATTTAATTATTTACTTTTTTTCAAGAAAATTTGATGCTCCAAAAAAGAAGTGTCATATTTATCTTGAAGCTCATGACCCTGGTGACAAACCTATCCCAGTTAAAGACCCAACCAGGTCCATTAGACTCAGCTCTAAATGCTCTATCAAATTTTAACCAAAGAACATCCATGGCAAATCTCTGAATATGAATTAATTGCAAATTATTCAGCTACATGATTGAATAATGAGACCTAATATATATATAGATAATACCACAAATTATTATTTTAGATTTATGGTGGTTGATCTGCACCCACAATTTTTGGCCAAAATTAATCAGCATAACCTGCTTACAGTCAGTAAGTTGCCTGAGGTCTAAAAAGTTTGTGTATTTTTTATTGATAATTAAGGTGAGATAAATGGTCTTTCCAGATGTCGAAGTCAATCTGGAGGTTCAAGGAAGACACCAGACTTGCCTTGGGTAGTTATGGTGAAAATCTCCTCCCTGCTGATTCTGGCCACTGAACTCTAACACTCCCATAAGAATCCATTTGAGCTTTTTAGAGGTGATAAGGAGTTTATGGTGTTCAACTTGATAAGATCTTAAGTGGTTGCTTCTGATATCCATTTTTAAAATAATTTTGTTTTATATATTTGGGTAAATTCCTAATATTTTTGTTTGAAGAAATAGTTCCATGATAAAAATATGATTGTTAATTTTTTTTACTCTAAAAAGTCATCCAACTCAGGGACTTGGTAAACTTTTCCCTGCAGGTCCAGAGAGTAAATATGTTTTTACTTTATCACAGCTACCCAGTTCTTCCAAAGCAGTGTAAGAACAACCATAGACAATACATAAACAAATGAGTGCAGCTGTGTTCCCATACAACTTTACAAACACAGGCATTGGGCTAGATTTGGCTGTTGACCATAGTTGGGTGACTCACAGATCTAATTCATTGTAGTCATTGTTAAAAGTCATTGTTTTTCCTTCTGCACAAGTTTATAATTTCCACGTAGTAAATTATGAGAGATAATGTTGGCTGTTTCACAAATGTAAATAAATAACATACAATGGCAAATTATATATCAAGCACAAAAAGGTTGTTATAAATCACAAGATTATATCCACCAGCAATGGTGTGCATGAAGTTGTTTTTTTCAAGGAATATGTAGATGCCATATACCAAAATGTTGAATAAACTTAATAGAGAGCACAGAAAAGAACAATAAACTCTTACTTTTTATTGCAGCACAGATTATAATTTAGGAACCCTATTGAAAGCTAATTGCATTAGGCTAATAAAAATATTATATGTCAAAAAAGTAAATATTGACAAATAAAACCAGAAGAATTTATGAAACTATAAAATATATCCACTCTTACCACAAACTCTAATGCAGTATATTGAATAGATAATAAAAGTTTTGAGTAGATAATAAAAGATAATGGTTTGGCTTTAATAACTTGTAAGCTATGAGTACTACAAGTGATAATTTTTATCAGTACTAAATTCAGTGTTCTTATTAGTAGATTTTGCTTAGCCATGATTTTGGTTATTTTTGTTTCCTTGTACACTGAAACTATTGTCAAGGATTTTCGTTCATCTCAATTGACAAGAGAAATACTGTTTACTTTGATTTGCTTTTCTTGCAAGTTTTCAGTGCACATATAAGCAATTTATCAGCATTCAAGGCTATCTGTGGATCACATGAAAACACTTAAAACTTAACAGAAACTTAATAATACTCATGTTGGAGAAAATGTCAAATGGTAAGCAGCAGGTGTTCAAATTTTAGTAGGAATTCAGGAAATTATATACTATTTTTTATTGAATCATTTAGTAAATAGATAAGATTGTCCTCCAGAATTCTATATCAAAAGACATTCCTGAAAAAAGGTTTGAACAGCAGTGAAAGAAAAAGTTTAACAAGATGGTGCTAAGGTAACTTTAAATAACTAAGACCATCCTGTCAAATACCTTTACGAACAAAGTAATAGTAAGAAACCACCAAGGTTAAAGCAAGTACAATCATACTGTTCAAAGAATGTTTCTACAAAAGAGCCCCCAAAATTTTCATTTGCAGCATCATCACTTGGTCAATGAAAGATGACAGATAAAACCTGTGGCGTAGATAAATGTCATCTCACTCTTAATCAGACCTGCAGTGGTGTATTTCACTTTTAATCTCTTGCCCTGCAATTGATGGTGAAGATCAAGGCATCTTTCTTTGACTGCACTATTTCAGCATCACAGCCCCATTTAATATAACTATAGTATTTCACCTGGAGGCAGCCAGATCCTGTAAGGAAACAAATCCATGTTTCCTTACAGTAAAGAGTTTTCTAAATACTCTTAGATTTGTTCTTGAAATCAGGAAATGGTATGTCCTGAATTCTGAAAGACATACTGGTTGCTTATAAGCTTCTGTGAGGTTTGCCAAGTTAAATCTGTCATGCAACCCACCTCAGAGCTCCAGTAGGAATTTAAGGACCTCATAATTTGAAAGCATCAGCTTCACTGCTTTGTATGTCCTTCTGGTAGTAAATAAATAAAAACCAAGTTTCTTCCTCAGGCTAAACTTAAAATTCTAGAAAATTAGACTCTTCTCATAAATAAAAACATTATTTATCAAAACTTTACCATAAATGTATCTCTATAGTAAAAAGTTACAGAAAACAGAATACCAAACCCTAAAGAAAACACTTAAAAATAGTTCAATTTATTTGGCACACACATTTATATATATATCTCCTATGTCACCAGTTTGTCTTTTGCCTTTGTATTTTTTGACATGCATTCTTTCTAACTTTTATGTTATTATGGGACTATCTATATGTGTGTGTATATATATATACATATGGGACTATCCCATGTCTCATATATATATATGAAATGGATATATATAAAACTTGGGATATATATATATATATATAATGTATGCATATATGTTTTTTAACATTGTCCATTTAAACAGCTCTCACACTAATAAAGGATTATCAAATGAATAGAGATCTAAACAGACATTTAGAAAAGAAGAAATACAAACATTTTAAGAATGCAAATTAAAATAACAATGATAAATCATTTTTAACTACTTGATTGCCAAAGATGTAAAACATGGGAAAACATCCAATATTGGTACCAAGGTGGCAAAATACGTATACATTATTAGGATATAAATTAATGTTAATCTCTTAACAAAAAAAATCTATCAACAAGTATCAAAATGTTAAAATGCTGTGCTATATCTCTGAGTGTATAATGGAAACAACATTCAGCAAATATATATAGATGTTCTACTGCTTGGAATGTATACTAAAAAAAACTGAGCTATTGTTCAAAGATGTTCTCTGGGCAATAATAGGTAATTGTAAGCGTTCAGTGGATAATATTTGTCAAATTCTTATTACAAACCATACACAGTGATAAACACTTTATGGTACATTTTACAGAGGATTAGATGATTTACATAACTTTTCCAAATGTAGCCAGCCAATAAATGGCACCACTACTCAAATTCAGGTCTGTCTGATCAAAAAGTTATTGGCTAAAATAAAGCACACTACAAAATAATTAGTCTACTTATCTAAAGAAGCATCCATGCATTCAATAGTCTATATACACCAAATTGATAGAATACATAATGGTGAAAGAACAGCCTCTTCAATAAATGTTGTTGGCAAAACTAGATATCCACATGTAGAAGAATGAAATGGACTTTTATCTTACACCATATACAAAACTAAGTCAAAATGAATTAAGAACTTAAACATAAGACCTAAAACAGAAAAACTATAAGAAGAAAACAGGAAAAAAGCTTCTTGGCATTGGTCTGAGCAATCACTTTTTGGCTACATCCAATAGCACTAGCAACAAAGCAAAAATAGAAAAATGTGATTGCATCAAACGAAAAAGCTTTTGTACAACAATGAAAACAATCAACAGAGTGAAAAGACAACTTATGGAATGGAAGAAAATATCTGCAAACCATACATCTGATAAGTGGTTAATATCTAAAATATATAAGGAACTGAATTCATTGGCAAAAAAAAAACCCAAATAACCCAATTTAAAAATGGGTAAAGGACCTGAACTGACATTTCTCAAAGAAGAAATGCAAATAGCCAACAGGTTTATTTAAAAATGCTCAACATCCTTTGGGTATATACCCAGTAATGGGATGGCTGGGTCAAATGGTATTTCTAGTTCTAGATCCTTGAGGAATTGCCACACTGTCTTCCACAATGGTTAAACTAGTTTACAGTCCCACCAACAGTGTAAAAGTGATCCTATTTCTCCACATCATCTCCAGCGCCTGTTGTTTCCTGGAATACTATGCAGCCATAAAAAAGGATGAGTTCATGTCCTTTGTAGAGACATGGATGAAGCTGGAAACCATCATTCTCAGCAAACTATCACAAGGACAAAAAACCAAACATCGCATGTTCTCACTCATAGGTGGGAACTGAACAATGAAAACACTTGGACACAGGAAGGGAAACATCACACACCGGGGCCTGTCGTTGGGTGGGGGGTGGGGGGATGGGGGAGGGAGGAGGGAGGAGGGGGGGAGGGATAGCATTAGGAGATAGACCTAATGTAAATGACGAGTTAATGGGTGCAGCACACCAACATGGCACACGTATACATATGTAACAAACCTGCACATTCTGCACATGTAACCTAGAACTTAAAGTATAATAATAAAAAAAAAAATTCTCAACATCAGCCGGGCATGGTGGTTCACATCTGTAATCCCAGCACTTTGAGAGGCTGAGGCAGGAGGATCGCTTGAGGTCAGGAGTTCAAGACAGCCTGGCCATCATGGTGAAACCCCATCTCTATTTAAAAAAAAAAAAAAAAAAGCTCAACATTACTTATCATCAGAGATATGCAATTCAAACTACAATGAGATATCACCTCACATTGGTTATAATGGCTATTACAGAAAGACAAAAGGGAGCAAAGGTTGGTAAGAATATGATGAAAAGGGAACCATTGCACACTGTTGGTGGAAATGTAAATTAGTATATTAGTCATTATGGAAAACAGTATGAAGATTCCTCAAAAATTAAAAATAGAACTACTGTAAGATCCAGCAATCACACTTCTGGGTATATATATTCAAAGGAAATAAAATCAGTATCTCAAAGAGATATCTACATTCCTATGTTAACTGCAGCATTATTCACAATAGCCACAATATTTAATCAATCTAAATATCCATTAATGGATGAATGAATAAAGAAAATATGGGGTGTATAATACACACACACGAAGACAAAGAGTGTAATATTAATAAACCTTAAAAAAGAAGGATATTCTGTCATTTTTTGACAACATGGGTGAACCTGGAGGACTGTGAAAGTTGTCAGAAACAAAATTGAATCACTAACATTAAGAAAACCCTGACAAATAGAGCCAGGGAAGGCCATGAAGGGAGGGATATTATACTTACATGCCTAATAACAAAAATGATTACAAAAACCACAACCTTGCACAACAGACATTGAAACCTCACACACAAAAATACTTCTGCAAGTACATCTGCCAAGCAACTGCCTGTCCAACCTCAAATTGGCGTCATCCTTATTATTGATCTTTGTAGCCAAGGATAAGTATTTCAAAACAATAATGTAATTCTCTTCATTTTTTCCATTAAAAACCTTTTTATTCCTTTATCTCTCTGAATATGCAGACAGTTTACTGATACGGTTTGGATTTGTGTCCCTGCAGAAATCTCATGTTGGATTGGAGGAGGGGCCTGGTGGGAGGTAATTGGGTCATGGGGGGCAGATTTCCCCCTTGCTGTTCTTGTGATAGTGAGTTCTCATAGGATCTGATGGTTTAAAAGTGTGTGGCACTTCCCCCTTAGGTCTCTCTCTCCTGCCACCATGTGAAGAAGGTGTTTGCTTCCCCTTTGCCTCCCACCATGATTGTAAGTTTCCTGAGGCCTCCCAGTCATGCTTTCTGTACAGCCTGCAGAATTATGAGTCAATTAAACCTCTTTTCTTCATAAATTACCCAGTCTCTGGTAGTTCTTTGTAGCAGTGTGAAAACAGACTAATACATTGACTAACTATGGCAAGTTCCCATTGCAATGCTTCCTTCCCAAATAAACATCTTTTCTCTAGAGAGCCTCTCTCTCTTTGTTATTTAAGTTAACAGGACCTTCTGCTAAGTGAAATAAGCCAGGCACAGAAAGATAAACACTGTATAATCTCACTTATGTGTGAAATCTAAAAAAGTCAAACTTATAGAAGCTGGAAATAAAATGGTTGCAAGGAATGGGGTGTTGAAGAAATAGAAGGATGTTGGTCAAGGGGTTCCAAGTTTCAGCTATGCAGAATGAATTAATTCTGGAGACTTAATGTATAGCAATACATAATAATACTGTATTGTATACTTGAAATTTACTAACAGTAAATCTTAAATGTTCTCACAACTAAGGCAACCATGTTAGGTGATGGATATGTTAATTAGCTTGATTTTGGTAATTGTTTCCAATGTAGAGTACATCAAAATATTACACTGTATACCACAAATATATACAATTTTTATTTGTCAATTATACCTGAATGGGACTGAAAATGAAATAAAATACATAATTAAAAAATTAAAAACTATTGCAAGGTTTTTAAAGCAAAATTTTAGCTAATTTACATTTTAATGTCATATTCCTCTGAATGATTTGATTTTTTTAATGGGCACACATTGCTTTTATAAACAGTATTTCAATGTTGAAAATAATGCCAGTGAAAATTATTAGATACCATTTTTCATTTATTAAATTTGTTTTCAAAATATGTAATAACCAGTGTTAGGGTTTAGAAAATTAGAAACACTCATACATTATTTTGGCATTAAGTATGACTATAGGTAATTTTAATTTACTATTCTTATTCTAATAAAAATATTAAAATTTTTATTTCTAATTTTTCTATTATGAACATGCTTATTTTATAGTTTAATTTTCTAAAATATAGAGGAAATATCAACTTAGAGCAAAATCAACAAAAGAAATGAATTCAATTACAAAATTAAATACCCTGCTGACTTTTTTTTCTTTCACTTTTTTCTCCACATAAAACATTTTTTACTCATTGACTGAGTCAAGAACTTGTGGTACCTCAGGCCTATGTGGCACACCTGATCCTGTTGCCCTTCTACAGTGTCAGAGTGAAACCATCTCCGGCAGATTGGGAAATGTTTCATTATTCAGTTTATCTACACCTTGAACACCATACCTGTGCCTTCCCAGATTTCACAGCCTCTTCCCAGAGTTAGATACAAAGTTAGCCATCTTTGTAAGCTTGTGCTATCCTCATAGCTGCATGAGCAATTTCAGTCTAAAACCTTTAACTTCCAACACAGTGATTCTCAAACTTTACTATGCATGGAATCATCTGGAGGGTTTATTAAAACTTAGAGTGCCTTACCCCAGAATTTCTGATTCGTTGTCTGAAGTGGAACCCAAGAATTCACATCTCCAACACGTTCCCAGATAATGCTGATGTTGACGCTGCTGTTATATACTTTGAGAGCCACTGGTCTAAGATGACGTTGAAGACCCATTTCTCCCCCACACTGAAGGTGTTCTTCCTCATTTGACTTACCTGGCACGTAGCTGCTGTCAGTAAGTGGCGGCTCTTGTTTGTATTGTGGCAATCAGCTGCTGTTGTGCCTTTAGGTGAAATCACTCTGCACTGTGATGAGTAGCCTGAGGTTTACATAGTTGCTACTTCAGCTGTGGTCTGTGGATGAGGAACATTGGCACCATCTGGGAGAGTGTTAGAAATGCAGCATTCTGGCCCCATTCACACTACTGAGTCAGAAACTGCGTTTTAACAAGGTCCTTACGTCATACACACGCACATTAAAGTTGGAAAGGCAAACAGTACCTTTCACAACTTATCTTCCTCCTCAGGCCTGAGAACTAGGTTGATTCAAGAAAAATTCCTTTCCCTTAAGTGCCCAGTGGCACTTCTAGTATGGCAGCTTTTTTATTTCTTTTGGTTTTGGTTTTTATTTGTATTAGGGTCTGCAGCAAGAGTCAGAAAAAAAATTTTATATAAAAGACCAGTGTGTAAATATTTCAGGATTTGTGGACCCTCTAGTATCAAACTACTCAACTCTGCAGTTAACAGCAACAGGGAGAAAGCAGCCATTTACAATCTGTAAATGATGGGCATGATTATATTCCAGTAAAATTTTATTTACAAAAACAGGCAGCAGGCCAGCTTGACCAATAACCTCAGTCTATAGACTACACCTTTGTTATATTGTGTGTGCCAATAACCACCGGATCTAGTAGTTTACATACCATGTGAGGATTAAAAGATAATGGAATCCAAGCTGTTGACTTGCTTCACAGCAGCACATAAAAGGCAGTGGTTCACAACTCTAGCTGCTCATTAGAATCACATCATTCTGACTTTTAAAAAAATCATTAAACCAGATTCTCATGAAAACAAGACCACCGTATTTGTATTTTTAAAAACTCCTCTGGTGGTTTTAGTGTGCAACCAGAACCATCCTATTTTGCCTGGCACTGAGGAGTCCCAGGGATGCAGGACTTCAGTACCAAAACCAGAACAGTCCCCAGACAAACGCAACTGATTTGTTGTCTTATGTGTTGAGACGCACTGGTGTGTAGGAAAAAAAGCACAAAATTGCAACACATATAAATCTGGATTCTTTTTTTATGGCCTGGAGAAATTTCTTAATGTTATAAACCTTTGTTTCCTCACCCTTAAAATGGAGAAAAAGCGACTTTACATGCAAGGGAGGATGAAGTGCATTGCGCAGCACTCACATGTGCTGTGCAAAAACTTTCCCTGCCGCTTCTCTAAATCTCTTTTAAATGCAGCCAGAAGTCTTTGGGGGCAATTTTAAGCTTAACTTGAATGTAGTAAAGTTTAAAAACAAAAACAAACCTCCAGTGAAGGCTTGATATGAACAAACCCTCTAGATGATTCCATGCATAGTAAAGTTTAAAATAAAAAAAGTATGAACCCACATGAACAATTAGAACAGAAGTGTAAATGACAGCAGACAAAAATGTTTAATGGAATGGAAGAATAGTAACTGATTTAGTAGAGTAGAAAAAGCTACAATCTAAAGTACCCACAGGAGATATCTCCAAGAAGCATGCATATTTGCTCCTGCGAGAGTACTGATGTTGACGGCAGATACCACAGAAAAGTGGAGTGAGACCAGGAGCTAAAATGCAGGATTAGTTGACACCTGTATATGGAACATACAAACCCCCAGAGTCTCTTGCCATCACATGGGGCTGGATGACACCTCCCACACACAGAGTGACTTGCATACCCCACCTCAGACAGGAGGTAGCAGGCTTATTCTCAGGACAAATAAAAAGGAAGTGGTTTGGGACTCAAAGACATCTTGTGCAGTAAAGGGCAAGATGAAACATGAGATTTAAAAGAAGTCTGTATGCAAATGATGGGAGCCCCACTATTTCTTCCTGCTTCCCAAAACTCCTATAGCCAGGCTATTTTTCACAGGAAAGAAAATTGACCTTAAAGAAAATACATAAATATATCTTTCCATATTAACAATTAGGAGTTCCCCAATAAAGTAAATTAGTTTTTTGAAAAGCACCCTGCAGTGAAGACAATGCTTCTCAAATGCTCAATGGGTAACACATTCCACTTTATAGTGCCCCACTGCAATCTAAAAGGATATTCAAGCAAGGACCACTAATAACTGAAGAAAGACACCCAAACAAAACAAACAGAAAAAAAAAATCCACGCAGATAAAACAGACAGTGAGAAAATAAAAGTTCTAAAAGTAAAATATACGGCCTGGCCAAAAGACCAGCCTGGCCAATATGGTGAAACCCCATCTCTACTAAAAATACAGAACTTAGCCGGGCATGGTCGTGGGCATCTGTAATCCCAGCTACTTGGGAGGCTAAAGCAGGAGAATTGCTTGAACCCAGGAGGTGGAGGTTGCAGTGAGCCCAAGATCGTGCATTGCACTCCAGCCTGGGCGACAGAGCGAGACTCCGAAAAAAAAAAGAAAAAGTAAAATACAGTGGAATGCATTGAAACAGAAAAACAAAATTACATTTAAAAAATGAGAAAACAATGTTTAAAAGGAAAAGAAAAAATCAGAAAGAACTCTTGAACATTAAAACTATGATAACAAAACATGCCCATAACAAGTAGGAATATATAGTTTAAGAGATTACCTGGAAATTAAAATGAAATAACCACAAACACAAGAGGAAAACGTTAAGTCATAGAGACTCAAAGTTACGTCACAGAAAGTCAATCAAGGAAATCAACATAAAATGTAATTAAATTAAATGTAAATAAAAATTAGCACTTTTAGATAAAAAACATAGATAGCAAAAGAGTGAAAATTGTTGAAGAAATATAAAATTTCTCAGAAATAAAGGTTACTAGGTTCTAGATGGAAAGGGCCAGGAAAGTTTCCCCACAGAAAGATAAACACCAAAACCCATTACTCTGAAATAATTGATGAAATATCCAGTCATCAGAGATAAAGAGATGATCCTAAAAGCTTCTGGAGGTAAACTCAACAAGAATCAGAATGGAATCAGATTCCTTAATACGCAAAAGTGGGTGCTAGAAGACCAAGTCTATACTCAGAGAAACTAGCTTTCAAAATTGAAGGCAAAACAAGGGTGCTATTAGACATGCAAAAGCTGAATAAATTCATTACTGTTAAATGCATATTACAAAAAAAAATTAAAGGAATTCTTTCAGTCAGAGGGAAATGATACTAGATGGAAACTGGATCTATGCAAAATAATAAAGAATGCACAGAATGCTAACTATATGGGTAAATATACAGGAATTACTTATATTACTTAAATCTCTTTTAAAGATAATCAAATGTGTAAAAAATATAGCACTGTTATTATGAAGTTTCAAATAAATGCAACAGTAAAATATATGACAAACATAGCAGGAAGGCCAGAGGAGAGAAATAGAAGGATACCATGTTGAGGTTCTTATACTATACATAAAGGAGTGCATTATCACTTCACAGTATGCTGTGACAAAGAATGCCATAGCAACAAGCAAGCATTAAAATAAAAAAAAGCATTTATAACTAATAAGCCACCAAAGGGGGTAAAATAGAGTCATAAAAGATAATCCAAAAGAAGTAATAAAAAGAAGGAAAAAGAGAACAAAAAACAAATGAGGCGACAGAACACAAATAATGACTGTCTTAAATCTAACCATATCAATAATCACATTAAATACAAATAGTGTAAAGATTACCAGTTAAAAGGCAAGGTTGTCACAGTGGTTAGAAAAAGCAAGACCCAATATATACCACCTATAGGAAATGACCTTTAATATCAATAAAATGCAGAAATCTCTATCCAGACTGATCAGGACAAAAAGAGAAAAGAGACAAATGGCCAATATCAGAGAAAATAACAATAGAATATTATGAATAACTTTATGTCAGTAAATTCAAAAACTTAGATGGAACAGAAAAATTTCTTGAGTAACACAAGCTACCAAAGATTACCCAAGAAGTACTAGATAATGTCAGTAGTCTTAAATCCATTAAGGAAACTTAATTTGTAGTAAAACAAAAATTTTCTTACAGCAACAACTCCAGATCCAAATTACTTCACTGGTAAATTAATGAACTTGAAGGCATACCTAAGTAACTATTAAGAAATATATGAATTCTGCAAAATTTTCTTGAAAATTGAAGAGAAAGAACTACTTCTCAATTTATTCTATGAGGTCATCAATACTGTGGTCTTGAAATCTAATAAAGACATTAGAAGAAAAGAAAACTACATTTCCTCACAAAAATAGATGCAAAAATTCTAAGCGAGGTTTTAGTAGATGGAGTCATCCATATATAAAAGGCAAATTCATCAAGAAGAAGTAGGGTTTACACCAAAACATAAGGTTAGCTTAACATTTAAAAGTCAAACAATTTAATTTACCATATAAGGAACTAAGAAAAACCATAATTTCAGTAACCATAGAGAAGAAAAACAATAATTTCAATAAACATAGAGAAAACATTTGGCAAAATCCAACATCCATGTATCATAAAAATTCTAGCATACTAGGAATAGAAGGAAACATCCTCAATTTGATATATGGTGTTTATAAAAAGCCTATTAATAATATTAAGAAACACCTAATGACAAAACAACTGAATGTTTTACTCCTAAAATTAGGAAAAACACAAGGATGTTCCTCTCACTATTCCTGTTCATCTTACTGTACAATATAGTGCAATAAAGTGAGAAATAAGGTGAGAAAAATAAAAAGCATGTAAATTAGAAATGAAAAATTAAATCTGTTTATTCATAGATATCATGATCTATATATAAAACAATGACATTTATAAAAATGCTGTAACTATTTATAAAAAGTGAGTTTAGCAAGTTGCAGGATACCAGGTGAATACAGAAAAAAAATAGTTTTATTTTTATGTAGTAGCATCAAAAAATTAGACACTGAAATTATCAAATAATACTATTTAAGTAGCATTAGAGATAAATCTTAAAAAAGGTGTTCAAGACCTCTACACTGAAACTATAATATTATACCATGAGAAATTAAAGAAGATATAATTAATAGAGAAACATACCTTGTCCGTGGATTGGAAGACTAAATATTAAGATGTCAGTTCTCTTAAAACTGACATGTCGAATTAATGCAATCCTAAACAAAATTCTTGTCCCTTTTATTGGTAGAAATTGGTAAGCTGATTCTAAAATTTATATGGAAATACAAATGGGGATTGGAAAATACTATTGATGGGTTTACAAGACCACTAGTTATACAATTTCAGAGTGAATGGTGCTGCTTAGAATTATCCAATTCCATGACCCTAATGGGAGATGTGATAAAACCCTGAAAAATTAAGGATAGCTATCAAAAACAGAATTGTATAATTGGCAATTATAGGAAAAGAAATAAATTAACTAGAGGTAAATTGTTAACCTCAGGAAAAGCAAACGTTGTTTAAGAAAGGAAATACAATTGTAATATATTACTTATTTTCTCAGAGAATGCTATGTGCAGTTATAGTAATAAAAGTTATTGTTTCACTATGGTATAATTCTATTAGAAGGATAAGGGAAGAGATTTGGATGAGTGATGTAGGATAGCTAAATGCTCACCCTCCATAACATGAAGTCAATAGATAAAATTTAGACTTTATACATCAAGAAATAGCAATATAAGCATATTATTTGTAAAAGTAAAGTTAAATACTAGAAAAAAATCTTTGATGTTCAAAGCAATTATCCTTTGAGACTGAGACTTGGCCAAAGAATGGAAAATATAGAAGGGATTGGTGCTGTTTCTATTTTAAACATTATAAGCTGCTCGGTACTTAAAAAAGTTTCAACTAGGGCATGTATTACATTGATACAAATCAAAAACAAAAGAAAATTTACTAAAACAAACAAACAAAAAGTAGTATGCACTTCCTTAGCTTCTTCACTGCTTCAAGTACAATTCCAGCTGTCATCTTATCTGATTCCAAATTCTAATTCAGGAAACAAGTACAAATCACAAATGGATACCCCACATAAAATGAAATGTATTCTCAAACATGTGGTTCATTCCCAAATTGGAGCACTCATGTTGCACACTCCATTGTTTATGTACATTAAAACTGGTTGTAAGTTTAAGTATTGACTGTGAAGCACAGCTTTGAGAAAGTTCTGTAAAGGTTTTGCAGAAGTCAAAATCAGTTTTTTTCTACTGTAACAAAATTAGATCAAGTCATTTTTCAATGGTTAAGTAAAGTGCAAATCTAACAATCTCCCTCATTTAAAAAAAAAAAAAAAAGAAAGAAAGAGGAGGTTTGTTGGGAGCAGGAGGAAAATGAGAAATGAGAAAGGAAAAGAAAATTAGAAGATAAAAAAGAATTCCATTTGCTTCCCTTTATACTGAGTCTTATAAAACCAAAAAAAAAACAAGTGAAGCAAAACAAGAGATCACATGTTTCATGTCCACTAACCACTGCCTTGGACTGGTCACCTGGAACTATCACCATCTGAAAGAGGAGATTCCCAGACATAAACAGACAGGCTGGTCCTCAAACAGATGAGCCTCTGCTAGGAACCAACTGACTGCAGTCCTTGAAACGGCTTCAACTATAATCACAAATTTAAGCTAGGAAATAATTACTAAAGAATTAAGAGTTAAAAGTAGTAATTACAGCTAGCATTAATTAAGAGTATCATTTATTCATTTCTTCTCCAATGCCTGTTATGTGTTTGGTTTTGTTCTAAGTGCTACCACAGCCCTGCATCACTGAAGCTTTACAGGAGGAATCCAACAAAAAATAAATAAATAAATCTATGTAAAATATGTCAAGTGGTGAGAGTTAATCTTCAAGCAGTTTTAGTGGGTAGAAAGTTGCAGTAGAGTTGTTCTTTTGTATCAAGGTAATCAAAGTAATCAAAGGAGGCCTTTCTAACAAAGTGGCACTGAATAACAACTCATCCAATTCTGACCAATCCCTGCCCAGACAAACTTACTTACTTCCATGTTAAAACTATCATATGACTAACTCTAGCCATAAAAGCCCTGTAAGCATCCTTCCTTAAGTCTCCCTTGTGAGAGACTGCTAGTTCTCTTAAAGGTAAAAAGTTCTCCCTTGCCATCAAGTTTAATAAATCAGCTTTGTATTACTAGCAAGTTTCCCTGACAATATCTGTACTGGAGTTCTGGTCATTGAGAGTTTTTAGCATATAGACGGTATGGAGTACAACAGGACTGAATGAGACCACCTAATGATCAGTGCAGAAAAAAGGTACAATAGGCCGGGTGCAGTGGCTTACACCTGCAATCCAAGTGCTTTGGGAGGCCAAGGTGGGAGGAACACTTGAGGCCAGGAAGTCAAGACCAGCCTGAGCTGGTGAGACCCTGTCTCTATTATAAAAGAAAAAGAAAACAAGTGAAAAATATTCAAAAGACAGCATGAGGCCTAAGAAGGGAGTCCCGGGGCATTTAAACTTTTAGAAATCCATCCCAAAGATAAGAAGGAACCAGAAAAAAATTAGTCAGGGAGGTCAAAGAAGAAACAAGAGAGAATGTGCCCCAGAAACTACAGAGTTTTAAAATCACTTTTCTTTAAAAGGAATGAGCTCTGAAAATTTAACAGTAGATTTGATTATAAATGGACTGGATAAATTAAGAGCAGACACATTGTATTCAGACGTCAATAAAAGGCACAACATAAATAAAGGGTGGATAAGGTGATCCAAATACCTTTGACCCATGGTCCTTGGCATATAGAAATGGTCTGCAGAAATCTATCCATATAGTTAATTCTAAATACAGTGGTAAAATGTCACAGCATATTGAAATATCTCCCGAATCAAAAGATGTTTGAGGTCGCGGTTCTCAATCCTATCTTTCTACTCTCTTGATTAACTATTTTCTGAGCTTCTATACATTCCTCTTATTCTTCTTCAGCTTTGTTCATCTTTCTCTTTAATCAGTCTTCCTTCTGTTCAGCATGATCTATTTCCATTCACTTTATGAAGCTTGCCAATGATAGAGTCAAATTTAAAATAGGCAGGCACAAAGCAAAGCGACAAATGTTAAACCAAAAGGAAACTCTTAAAAGAGTAAGCCTCAAACCAAAAGGACCTCTTCATACATACAGAGGACTTGTCCAGCATGAATCTTTTTGCAACATATGGATAATAGATGAAAAAAATCATACAGTATTAGAATTGGAAGGGTCTTTGGATATCGTCTAGTTCAAAGACACCTTTGCCATTTTAGATACAAAGGAAATGAAGAGAAATCAACTAATTTGCTGAAAGTCATTCAGCCAATTGGTGGCAGATCGGATATAAGCCTGACTCCCAGGCTAATATTTTTTCTCTAAATTAGAATATATTATAAATATTAACTTCAAATAAAATAGACAATACCACACTATTTTCCCAGTCCTTGCAAGTAAAATTAACTTCCTTATATAAACAAAGATTGCATGTTCAATTATTTCAGTCTGCTTAATATTTCACCATGAATGTATTTTTCATAGTCTAGGGCTTAATTCCTTTCTATTCCAAGGGATGGAAGCATCTCATGCTTATTTCAGAATTTCCAAAATGTAAAAAGGATATTGAATGAGCACATATAATTGTTTGAAAATTCAAGAAATAAAACTACCAGATTAGTATTCACTTGTTAGTAAGATGTTTGAATTCAGTGGGTGATATGGTTTGGGTGTGTCCCCACCCAAATCTCATCTTAAATTGTAGTCCTCATAATTTCCACATGTTGTGGGAGGAATACAGTGGGAAATAATTGAATCATAGGGGCAGCTGTTCTCCTAACAGTGAGTGAGTTCTCAAGAGATCTGATGGTTTTATAAGGGGTTTTCCACACCTTCACTCTGCACTTCTAGCCGCCACCATGTGAAGAAGGACGTGTTTGCTTCCCCTTCCCCCATGATTGTAAGTTTCCTGAGGCTTCCCCAGCCATGCTGAACTGTGAGTCAATTAAATCTCTGTCCTTTATAAATTACCCAGTCTTGGGTATGTCCTTATTAGCAGCATGAGAATGGATTAATACAGTAAATTGGTACTGGTAGAGTGGGGCACTGTTGTAGGATACCTGGGAATGTGGAAACAACTTTGGAAGTGGGTAACAGGCAGAGGTTGGAACAGTTTGGAGGACTCAGAAGAAGACAGGAAGATGTGGGATAGTTTGGAACTTCCTAGGGGTTTGTTGAATGATTTTGACCAAAATGCTGACAGTGATATAAAATTCAGGCTGAGGTGGTCTCAGATGGGGATGAAGAGCTTGTTGGGAACTGGAGTAAAAGTCACTCCTGCTATGCAAAGAGACTGGTGGCATTTTGCCCCTGCTCTAGAGATCTGTGGAACTTTGAACTTGAGAGAGATGATTTAGGGTATCTGGCAAAAGAAATTTCTAAGCACCAAAGATTTAAAGAGGAAACAGAGCATAAACGTTTGGAAAATTTGCAGCCTGAAAATGCAGTAGAAAAGAAAAACTCATTTTCTGGGGAGAAATTCAAGCCTGGTGCAGAAATTTGCATAACTAATGAGGAACCAAATGTTAATCGCCAAGACAAAGGGGAAAATGTCTCCGGGGCATGTCAGAGACCTTCACAGAGGTCCTTCCCATCACAGGTCCAGAGGCCTAGGATGGAAAAATGGTTTTGTGGGCTGGACTCAAGGCCCCCCTTGTTGTGTGCAGCCTTGCATCCCAGCCACTTCAGGTGTGGCTAAAAGGGGCCAACATACAACATGGGCCATTGCTTCGGAGGGTGCAAGCCCCAAGCTTTGGCAGCTTCCACATGGTATTGGGCCTGTCCATGCACAGAAGTCAAGAATTGAGATTTGGGAACCTCTGACTAGATTTCAAGGATGTATGGAAACACTTGTATGTCCAGGCAGAAGTTTGATGCAGGGGTGGGGCCCTCATGGGGAATCTCTGCTAGGGCAGCACAGAAAGGAAATGTGGGGTTGGAGCCCACACACAGAGTCCCCACCAGGGGCACTGCCTAGTGGAGCTGTGAGAAAAGAGCCACTGTCCTCCAGGCCACAAAATGGTAGATCCACTGACAGCTTACACCATGCTCCTGGAAATGCCACAGACACAACGCCAGCCAGTGAAAGCAGCCAGGAGGGAGTCTGTAACCTGTAAAGCCACATGGGCAGAGCCTCCCAAGGCTGTGGGAGCCCACCTCTTGCATCAGTGTGACCTGGATATGAGACATGGAGTCAAAGGAGAAAATTTCAGAGCCTTTAAGATTTGACTGTCCTGCTAAATTTTGGACTTTCATGTGGCCTGTATCCCCTTTGTTTTGGCCAATTTCCCCCATTTGGAATGGGTGCATTTATCCAATGCCTGTACCCCCATTGTATCTAGGAAGGAACTAACTTCCTTTTGATTATGTAGGCTCATAGGTGGAAGGGACTTGCCTTGTCTCAGATGAGACTTTTGGACTTTTGAGTTAATGCTGGAATGAGTTAAGACTTTGGGAGACTATCGGGAAGGCATGATTATGTTTTGAAATATGAGGACATGAGATTTGGAAGGGGCTGGGGCAGAATGATATGCTTTGGCTGTGTCAGAACCCAAATCTCACCTTAAACTGTAGTTTCCATAATCCCCATGTGATATGAGAGAGACCCAGTGGGAGGTAATTGAATCATGGGGAGGGTTACCCACATGCTACTGTTCCCATGATAGTAAGTGAGTTCTCATGGGATCTGATGGTTTTACAAGGGGATTTTCCCCCCTTTTGCTTGGCACTTCTCCTAGCTGCCACCATGTGAAAAAGAACATGGTTGCTTTCCCTTCCACCATGATTCTAAGTTTCCTGAGGCCTTCCCAGTCATGCTGAACTGTGAGTCAATTAAACCTCTTTCCTTTATAAATTACCCAGTCTTGGGTATGTCTTTATTAGTAGAGTGAGAATGGACTAATACAGTGGGTTATATTCCTTAATCAATATTTCGGTCACAGGCAAAGAGATTTTTCCCAAGCCTGGAAAACATTTTTTAGACATAACTCCAGGTTAAAATTATATCCAAATCAAGATGAATGTTATATTAAGTTATGTTGGAATGTGTGTTTTTAAATAGTCTTTTATAATGGAGCAAGATCTTTTATTGGCTTGTACCAACTTGGTAACATATCTTTAATATTTACCCTTTTCTGAGTATTATTTCTTGGATTTTCTTGAGGTCTATGCATTTATCCTGGATTTTCAAACCTTAGGAATCTTCATTAAGGGCATACCTTAGTTTACTTTCTAGCAAATCTAGTTACCTTTCTATTTGATCTTTATAGAGCCATAGACGGTAAAAATTGGGGGCTTAATTTAAACATGAGAATAGTTAATATGATTACAATATATTCTTTATACACTAGATTGTTCTTAAAAGGATGTAAGGCAATCTTTAAAAAAACTGTAAAGTTACATAAATACTTTAAAAATAAGTAGAAAGCACAATGAGACCAAAGAAAAAAGATTTAAAAATAAAACTTAAGATGGAGCCAAGAATAAAGTTAGTACACAAAGTACATGTTGTAAAATTATGTGGGCACACTTGTGGCTCTGAGATTTCTATATCAGCCAAAGAAAAATGATAAATATGAGTAGTTACATGTTTACATTGTCCATACAAAGAAAAACCACACAGCAGTACAGTATAAGCACACGTGCTCCTACTACCAAGACTAAAGAGAAATTTCTTCAATGAGTTATCCTGAAAAGATTCTATGTAATATATAAACAATATCCTTGGCATTCTTATAATAAATAAAACCAAAAGCTTCATAGGGTTGTTTTCTCTGATATCCTTTAAACACAAATTAAATATTATGTAGGCACTTGGTAGAAGATAGAGATGGAGACAAATAAGACATTTGAATTATTCTCTCTCTCAAACCTCAAACTTTTTTTTATACGGTGTCTTGCTTTGTCACCCAGGCTAAAGTGCAATGTTGTGATCATGCCTCACTGCAGCCTCCATATCCCAGGCTCAGGTGATCCTCCTGCTTCCATCTCCTGAGTAGCTTGGACTACAGGCATGCACCATCAAACTCAGCTAATTAACATAATTTTTATAGAGACAAGTGTTCACCATGTGTTCAGGCTGTCCTCCAACTCCTGGGCTCCAGCAATCCTCCCTCCTCAGCCTCCCAAAGTGCTGGGATTACAGCACTTGAGCCACCATGTCTGGCATATCTTTTTCTTTAATTTCGACTCCTGTTTTAGATTCAGGGTGTAAATGTGCAGCTTTGTTACATGAGTATATTGTATGATGCTGAGGTTTAGAATACAAACGATCCTGTCACCCGGATACTGAGCATAGTGCCCAACAGTTAGTTTTGCAACTCTTGCCCCCATTTTTATCTTCCTCCCCCCTCTATTAGTCCTCAGTGTCTATTATTGTCATCTTCATATCCACAAGTACCCAGTATTTAGCTGCCACTTATGAGTGAAAACATGTAATATTCAATTTTCTGTTTCTGCATTAATTCACTTAAGATAATGGCTTCCAGCTGCATCCATGTGGCTACAAAAGACATGATTTCATTCTTTTTTGTGGCTGCAATAGTATTCCATGGTGTATATGTACCACATTTTTGTTATCTAATCCACCATTGATGGCACCTAGGTTGATTCCATGTATGTGCTGTTGTGAATAGTGCTATGATGAACATACCACTGCATGCTCACACATCTCATACATTCCACTTTCATAATTTCTTTAAGTTGCCACTCTCTCCTAGTTTCAACCTCATTTCTTACCTGATTTATTTTGTAGCTTCCTAACTATTCTCTCCACCCTTAATTCTTACCATTTCAATTCATCTAAAATACAGGTCTCAGATCTTTTTTTTTTTTTTTTTTTGGAAACAGAGTCTTATTCTGTCACCCAGGCTGGGTTCAAGCGATTCTCCATCTCAGCCTCCCAAGTAGCTGGGATTATAGGCGCCCACCACCACACCCCACTAATTTTTGTATTTTAAGTAGAGACAGGGTTTCGCCATTTTGGCCAGGCTGGTCTTGAGCTCCTGACCTCAGGTTACCCACCCACCTTGGCTTCCCAAAGTGCTGGGATTACAGGCATGAGCCACCGCGCCCAGTCAGCTCTCAGATCTTTCTGAAGCACTGTTCTGGTTACAACACTCTTTTTCTCAAAAGCCCTTTTTTTTTTTTTACAAGAGATAAAAAGTTAAATTTACTAGCTTATTCATACAAGACACTTCATGATCTGGCTCTAACACAGTGGTTGAAGTCTCTAAAGCCAACAGAGACAAGGCAGGGTAAGAAAATGTGTGAAGTAATCTTGGCGCAAAAAAAAAAACAATGGAAGCCACAGGCCACACCTGAAGGAGGTTGCACTACTCAGCTCCAGGTGATCATTACCATGAACCCAAGTGGGCCTGGCATCTCAAGAGAAGCCAGGACTCTGTATTTTAATAGAGAATCTCCTGATTTTTAAATGCAGAAAACTAATTCAGAAGAAAAGTTGATCTTTTTCAAGCCAATGAAAGTATGCCTTCAGATGGCCTAAGGAGTGCCAGTTTGGTATGTGTGTCCTTTGTCTCATTCTGTCCTTTTGTATTTGCACTTGAACTACATCCTCTGCTCCTCCTCTCTTCCATATCTTCCCTGTATTGTTCCTTCTGAATACCCAGAGTTATAAATAACCTTCAAGGTGTAATTCAAATACTAATTCCACCAAACTTTTCCTGAACCAGCTGAATGTAATTATTTGCCCTCTGAAGTCCCATATTTAAACTCTACCTTTTTTATGGAAGCAAACACTCTACAAAGTTCAGTAATTATTTGCATGCATGATTTTTCTCTCCTATTAAGTGGCCATGAGTGCATAGGCCATGTTAAAATCAACTTTGAATACTCCACAGCAAACTGCACATCCTTTCACCCAATCAATGCTCAAGTGTGTAAGAATTAAATATTGAAAGATTTTTAATGGAAAAATTAAAATATTGAGCTATACCCATTAAAGTCTTGACTTTTTTCTTGAATACTTGGAAGTCATGTGTTAGACAGATGGCTTTCTTTTCCCCTTCACAATTTGTATACATATTTCAGATAGGGAATTTTCTAGCATAACACCAATTTCCTTAGCACGGAGTTCTTTATTTTCCCATGAAATGAAGGTTTGCACTCCCTCAAGCACATCCTTAAAATATCTTGACTCTGCATGTAATGTTTAGATTGTTTTATAAACCAATTTTTACGCCTGTGATATATTTGTGCCATTTGTCTGTAAATATAATATTTTCAAATCGGTGTAAGTTGACCTGAATATTTTCACAAACTGAGCAGTAACATTATTTTAAATTTATCCAGTGACTATTTTAAAGTCCTGAATACTTTCCTAAATTAGGTTAGTTTATATTGAAATATGATTTTCAAAATATTTATATGTTTTAATTCAGAGATTAAGGAAACAAGTTTTCTAAAAGCCACTCCTATAACCTGACCTCCCAGTGGCCCCACACAATGATAATGTCAAGCTTTATGTTTATTTACCAACCATCCCTGTCACACACCCCACTTCTTGAGAGGCTCAAAATAATACTACCAATCTGCAAAGGAATTTATTCATAGTTCAAACTTTGGAAACAAAGGCAGTTAAAGAAAATTTAAAAAGTAGAGCCTCCAGAATGATCCAGACATTAGGCTCTCCTATCCTTCCAGCTAAGGAGTAGAAAGGTCAGAGTTCCTCTAATGTGACATAAAAATGTAGGGATTTGAGCACAAATCAAAATATCATAGGATTTAAGGAGACTTTGGTTGGTATTTAAATTTGAGTAGCTGAAGTTCAAACTGGCTTTTTCACAATTTAAGCTGTATATTTAAGGAGGAAAAAAAGACAAAAAGCCAAGTACTGAAAATTGAAATCCTCTCATGAACGGTCATTCTATTTGAAAAATTAGAGACTTGTCAAAGAACAGCCATAACATTTACAAAAATGTAGGGACAGAACAAATTAAATGACAAAACCTGTGAGAAGTTTTTTAGTCCTTCTTACTAAGTGGAATAGACATACAAATTTGCTGGTCATGTACTTTTTAAATTAAGACTTGCTTAAAGAGATTTAATTCTAAGTCCAAATATCTGTGTGAATGAGTTAATAGGAACTCTCATAGCATAGGCTTGTACAGTCTTTGGAAACAGGTAACAACAAGAGCATTTATAATCTGTTGATGGTTGTACCTTTCCAACCCTTTCTACCTGCATTTGTACTCTCTGTAGAACTCAAAGTGTTTGGCAGTCTAACTATATATCACAGGTAGTCAGCTGCCAGGTAATAATATAATGGGAAGAAATTATAAACGAAAGTTCATAAAACACATGCATATATACATACACATATACACATATATACATATGTATATGTTTAAACCACATGAACATAAATCTATTTTAAAACTGACACTTAGCCAAGAACACTAATACAATTTTAATTGTCTTCATCTACAACCTCTTTCAAATATGAAACATCAGAGGTTAAAATGATGTTGGTGTCAAAAAGTAAAGTAATCAGGTGGTGAATAAAAACAACTTTGTGATGAGTTTCTCCTATGAAGCAATAAAAAGCCTGTGCAATGGGAGGCTAAAACCTTGGAAAGAAAATGTCAAGTTGAGAAATGCTTTGACATAAAGATAATGCACAAATAAAAGGAAAGAATACTTGGGGAGAGGAAACAATTGAAAGAAAAACAATTTATGTGTAATATAGAAGCTTCTGTACACATTTAAGGCATAACGGGGCTGGTAAAGATTTCAGAAAATGATGAAATATTTTGTTGATTTTATAGAGAAAAAAGAAAGCCACGCTAAAAAAACCACCATTCAGAATGCCAGATTCAAACATCTTCAAACTTTTATGTTACACAGAACTTTTTATAAAAATTTCAATCTACAGTGTGATGGGCAGAATGGTGCCACCAATATACACAGAGATGGCCATGTTCTAATGCCTAGAACCATTAGAACTTGAATAGGTTAACTTACATGGCAAAAGGGATTTTGCAGATGGGATTAAATTAAGGATGTTGATATAGAAAAATAAAAATGATTCTGGATTATCTGAGTAAGTTCAGCTAATCGCACGGAGGTTTAAAAGTGGAGGACCTTTAACAGCTGGAGTCAAATGGGAGGTGTGACCCCAGAAGAAGAGTCAGACTCAAATTACTCAGATTGCTGGCTTTGAGGATGGAGGAAAGGGGCTAGGTGCCAAGGAATTCGAGCGTTCTCTGGAAGCTGGAAAACG